>NC_000004.12:130133502-130436532 GCF_000001405.40 Homo sapiens
AACACATCAAAACAGAACCTCTTGAAAGCATAAATCTCACAGGACCTATAAAACAATAATACAATTTAAAAAAAAAAACAAAAACCAGAAAACAAGGCATACAGGCAACAAATAGCCTGATGAATGGAATGGTATCTCCCATCTCAATACTAACATTGAATGTAAATGGCCTAAATTCTCCAATTAAAAGATACAGAATTGCAGAATAGATAAGAATTCACCAACCAACCACCTTCAGACTATACGATAAGGCCAAGGTCACCAAAACAGCATGGCACTGGTGCAAAGAGACTCATCTAACACATAAGGACTTGCACAAACTTAAGGTAAAGGAGTGAGAAAAGACATTTCATGCAAATGGACACCAAAACGAGCCAGAGTAGCTATTCTTATATCAGACAAAACAAACTCTAAAACAGTAGCAGTTAAAAAAGACAAAGAGGGATATTATATTATGATAAAAGGCCTTGTCCAACAGAAGAATATCACAACCCTAAACATAAATGCACCTAACACTGCAGCTCACCAATTTATAAAACAATAACTAATATTCCTAAGAAATGAGATAGACAGCAACACAATAATAGTGAGGGACTTCAATACTCTACTGACAGCACTAGACAGGTCATCAAGACAGAAAGTCAACAAAGAAACAATGCACTTAAATTATAATATGGAACAAATGGACAGATATATACAGCACATTCCATCCCACAACCACAGAATATACATTCTATTCAACAGTGCATGGAACTTTCTCCAAGATAGACTATGAGATAGGCCACAAAATAAGCCTCAATTAATTTCAGAAGATGAAAATTAAATCAAGTACTCTCTCAGACCACAGTGGAAAAAAACTGGAAATCAACTCCAAAAAGAACCTTCAAAACCACACAAATACATGGAAATTAAATAACCTGCTCCTGAATGATCATTGGGTCAAAAATAAAATCAAGATGGAAATTTAAAAAATTATTCAAACTGAACGACAATAGTGACACAACCTATCAAAACCTCTGGGACACAGCAAAGGCAGCGCTAAGAGGAAAGTTCATAGGCCTAAATGTCTACATCAAAAAGTCTGAAAGAGCACAAACAGACAATCTAAGGTCACATCTCGAGGAACTAGAGAAACCAGAACAAACCAAAACCCAAACCCAGCAGGAGAAAGGAAGTAACCGTGATCGGAGCAGAATTAAATGAAATTAAAATGAAAAACAGAACAATACAAAAGATAAATGAAACAAAAATCTGGTTATTTGAAACGATAAATAAAATTGATAGACCATTAGCAATATTAACCAAGAAAAGAAGAGAGAAAATCGAAATAACCTCAATAAGAAATGAAATAGGAGATATTACAACTGATTCCGCAGAAATATAAGAGATCATCCAAGGCTGCAATGAACACCTTTACAAGCATAAACTAGAAAACCTAGAAGAGATGGATAAATTTCTGGAAAAATACAATCCTCCTGGCTTAAATCAGGACGAATAAGATATCCTGAACAGACTGATAGAAAGTAGTGAGATTGAAATTGTAATTAAAAAATTGCCAACAAAAAAAGCCCAGGACCAGATGGATTCACAGCAGAATTCTACCAGACATTCAAAGAATAGTGATATTATTCCACAAGATAGAGAAAGAGGGGACCCCACCTAATTCATTCTATGAAGACAGTATCACCTTTATACCAACAAAAACCAGGTAATGACATTAAAAAAAAAAACCTACAGACCAATATCCCTGATTACTATAGATGCTAAAATCCTTAACAAAACACTAGCTAACTGAATCCTACAACATATCAAAAAGATAATCCACCATGATCGAATGTGTTTCATACCAGGGATACAGGGATGGTTTAACATATGCAAGTCAATAAATGTGATACAACACATAAAAAGAATTAAAAACAGAAATTACATGATCATCTCAATAGATACAGAAAGAGCATTCCACAAAATTCCAGCATCCGTTTATGATTAAAACTCTCAGCAAAATCAGCATACATGGAACATACCTCAATATAATAAAAACCATCTATGACAAACCCATAGCCAACATAATACTGAATGGGGAAAAATTGATAGCATTCCCTGTGAGAACTGGAACAAGACAAGGATGCCCACTCTCACCACTCCTCTTCAACATAGTACTAGAAGTCTATGTTTCTCTTGTCTGACGAGAAACAAATAAAGGACATTCAAATTGGTAAAGAGGAAGTCAAACTGTCACTGTTTCTGATGATATGATTATATACCTAGAAAACCTTAAAGACTCCTTTAGAAAGCTCCTAAGACTGATAAAAGAATTCGGCAAAGTTTCCAGATACAAAATTAATGTACACAAATCAATAGCTCTTCTATACACCAACAGTGACCAAGCTGAGAATCAAATCAAGAACCAGCCCCCTTTACAATAGCTGCAGAAAAAATAAAATACTTAGGAATATACCTAACCAAGGAGGTGGAAGACCTCTACAAGGAAAACTATGAAACACTGCTGAAAGAAATCATAGATGACACAAACAAATGGAAACACATCTCATGCTCATTGATGGGTAGAATCAATATTATGAAAATGACCATACTGCCAAAAGCTATCTACAAATTCAATACATTCCCCATAAAAATACCACTATCATTCTTCAGAAAATTAGAAAAAACAATTCTGAAATTCATATGACCAAAAAAGAGCTTGCATGGCCAAAGCAAGACTAAGCAAAAAGAACAAATCTGGAGGCATCACATTACCTGATTTCAGACTATACTATAAGGCCAACCAAAACAGCATGGCACTGGTACAAAATAGGCACACAGACCAATGGAACAGAATAGAGAACCTAGAAATAAACCCAAAAACTATGATCAACTGATCTTTGACAAAGCAAACAAAAACATAAAGTGGGAAAAGGACACCCTTTTCAACAAATAGCGCTGAGATAATTGGCTAGCCAGATGTAGGAGAATGAAACTGGATCCTCATCTCTCATCTTATACAAAAATCAACTCAAGATGGATTAAAGACTTAAATCTAAGACCTGAAACTATTAAAATTCTAGATGATACAATTGGAAAAATTCCTTTAGACATTGGCTTAGGCAAGGATTTCGTGACCAAGAACCCAAAAGCAAATTAAAACAAAGATAAATAGCTGGGACTTAATTAAACCAAAGAGCTTTTGCATGACAAAAGGAACAGTCAGCAGAGTAAACAGACAACCCAAATTTTCACAATCTATACATCTGACAAAGGACTAATATCCAGAATCTACAATGAACTCAAACCAACAAGAAAAAAAAACAAACATAATTAAAAATGTAAAAAAAATAGTAGATGTTGGCATGAATATGGTGAAGAGGGAACATGTCTACACTGCTGATGGGAATGTAAAGTAGTACAGCCACTATTTAAAACAGTGTGGAGATTCTGCAAAGAACTAAAAGTAGAACTATCATTTGATCCAGCAATCCCACTACTGGGTATCTACCCAGAGGAAAAGATGTCCTTATACAAAAAATATACTTGCATACGTATGTTTTTAGCCGTACAATTCACAATTGCAAAAACTTGTAACCCACCCAAATGCCCATCAATCAATGAGTGGATAAAGCAACTGTGAGATATATATACGTGTGTGTATATATATGTATATGTATATGTGTGTGTGTGTGTGTGTGTGTGTATATATATATATATACATACACATGTATATATATAAACATACACATGTATGATGGAATACTGCTCAGCCATAAAAAGGAATGAATTAGTGGCATTCACAGGGACCGGGATGAGATTGGAGATTATTATTCTAAGTGAAGTAACTCAGGAATGGAAAACCAAACATTGTATGTTCTCACTCTTAAGTGGGAGCTAAGCTATGAGGATGCAAAGGCATTAGAATGACACAATGGACTTTGGGGACTCAGAGGGAAAGGGTCGGAAGTGGGTGAGGGATAAAAGACTACAAATAGGTCGCAGTATATACTGCTCAGGTGATGGGTGGACCAAAATCTTGCAAATCACCACTAAAGAATTTACCCATGTAACCAAACACCATCTGTTCCCCAATAATCTATGGAAATTAAAGAATATTTAAAAAGTGTATTCCTCAGGGAGAAGAAATGTTATCCCGGATGAAAGGTTTAAGATATAAAGTAACAAAAATACTAAAAAATTAAACAAATAAAAATGAATATTTACAGGAAAGGTGCTTCAAAAACATCAACACATTTTTAAGAAGCTAATAGCTTACATTTTGAAGCTATTTAAACTTATAACTGCACTTGGACAAGTGGAACACACTGTTGCATCATCTTGTGATTTAACAATAGCAATTAAGTGAAAGGTATAATTTGTGGTGATGTTGAAAAATATCAATTAATATTTGATTTTTATAAGTGAAGGTTTAATGAATATTTTGACCTAATTTTGGATGTTTTACCATTGCAGAATTTATGCTTTGCCCTTCCTTTCCCTATTACCACATACCTGTATTTTAGATAAGAAAACACACCTCCTGTGCTCTCTGAACTAGTGGAAGTCTTGAGCTTTGCAACCCTAACTTTCACACGTGAGCATCCCTTTTAGCCCCATCCCTTACACACTACACCATCTCAACTTACTGTTATTTTTTTTTCCTGTTTTCTTTCCAGACTGGTTTGCACTTATTCTGCTCTCTCCAGAAGTTCCTGGTGTGAGTAATAAATTTTTTCAATTTTCAAGGTGTGTGAAGTGTTATCAGCTTTGACATCTGATTTAATACTTGAGAAAGGGCTCATTTCCCTTCATTGGGTGACCATAATCTTTAGAGAAATGACTAAATATATAGTTAAGAAGTATGTAACTTCCTGGCTAATGGAAGAAAAAGTGAAATAATAAGACATAATCAATCCAAATAAGATAGGAAGGGGGCAACATGGAGCAGACAGTACAGGGGAGGCAAATGGAATTCAAAAAAATATCTTACTCAAACCAAATGTATCAATTATTACATTAAATATAGTCTAAATTATTTTGTTAAATGATAACAATATTTCAGAATAAAACTATTAAATATATACAAAGTGAAAGGAGGAATCTAGAGCATAATACTACAGAAAGGATAACAACAATTGACAAAGATCTACCCATTATAACATAATGTCAAAAATTTTAATTTACTAGGGAACTAAATGGTATACTATAGCATATCAGAATGATAAAACTTTTAATTCACTAAACAGTCGAGGACAATATACCATATCACATAATAAAGTTTAAATTTGCTAAGGATGAAATAATTATAAACCTGTATGAACCTGATAATATGCCTCAAATGTGTAAAGCAAAAATAGAGGAGATTTCAAAGGAACAACATATGAATACATAATCAAAATGAGAGCATTTAAGATGCTGCTCTAAGGATTGAGTCAAAAATTCAGTAAGAAAATAAAACTTTGGAGCCACCTGAATAAATATGGCGTAAGAATGAAATAATCTTGCACCTAGCAATTGCAGGATATGCACACTTTCCTTATGCCCTGGTACATTTACTAAAATTGACCATATATTAAATATATTAGGGTTCGCCAGAAAAACAGAACCAATAGAATATGTATGTACATATGTATGTATGTATGTAGAGGGTAAGAGACAAAGAGAGAGATTAATTTACTTTACACAATTGGCTCATGGCATTATGGAGAAGGCCTGCGAGTTCAAAATCTACAGGGTAGGCTGACAGGTTGGAGATTCATGGAAGAGCTGATGTTGAAGTTTGATTTTGAAAGCCAAGTGCTGGTAGAATTTCCTCTTACTCAACAAAGGTCAGTCTTTTGGTTCTATTTATGCTGTCCACTTATTAAATGAGGACTATTCACTTATTCAAAATCCATTGATTTAAATGTTAATCTAATCTAAAAAAATGCCATACAGAAACATTCAGAATAATGTTTGACCAAATATATGGGCACTATGGCACAGCCAAGTGAACAGAATTAACCATTACACCAGACCATAAAGCAGGTATCAGTGAATTTCAGATGAAGGACCCCATATAAAGTTTTTTCTCTGAAAGAAGTGAAATTTAGAAATCCAAAACAAAACATTGTCTGAAAAAATCCCTATGTGCTTATTACATAGAGAATAGAATTCTACATATGTAATGGGGAAAAGAAGGAAAATATTTTAAACTGAAAAATAATAAAAACACTACCTATGTCAACTTGTAAAATACTACTAAAGGCATACTTCGAGGTTAACTTACGGTCTTCAAAGAATATTTTATAAAAAGAAAGGCAAGAGAGAGGCAGTCACTTCAGCCCAATGCAGGAAACTCAAATTGGCTATTTATGCTCTCAAGTTCCTTGTGAAGTTGACTGAGGCTTTATTAGACTTCATCACAGTTTGATTTTCCCCTGACCAAAAGCTACATCCTCCTCCACCTTCCACAGTTGTTGATGATGCCTAGTAAATACCTCTAAAAGGTATTTTATCTCAAAATCTGCTTCAAAAAACCAACTTGCTACCCTACTCAAGTAGAAAGTAGGCATACACAATGACCCAACATATCGCTCTTGATTTATAATAAAGAGAAATACATTTGCAGCAAGAGATAAGTACAAGAATGTCCATAATAGTGGCATCTATTATAGACAAAAACTGGAAGCAGTCCAACACTAGAATGCATAAATAAATTGGGTTATGTTCTTATGATGGATGGCAATATATATACATATAGCAATATAATTAATGAAGTTCAGTTTCATGTAACAAGAGATATGAATATGACAATTCGGGAGAAGCAAAAGGATCCATAGAAAAAATGCATAATAAATGAAAGTTAAAATACCAGTCAAAAGTAAACTAGTGCTTTACAGTTTCCCATAAATTTGTCTTTGAGGGAAAATTAGTGATAGAGAAGGTTCATTATGGGGGCTTTTGAGATCCTGGCAATGCTTCATTTCTTGAACAGGTTGGACGTTTTATATGTGTCCACTTTATACTAATTCACCAAGTGAAATATAGACGTTCTGTAGTCTATACTAAAGCAATTCTGTGATTGCTTGATTTAGTCCTTCAACACTTAGTTAAGACATCACTCCTCATGAAGGACTTGTCTGACTCTTATCTATTGTAACTCCTCTCATTCTTTCTACCTCATCTATCATGTAAATGCCTTTTTCTTATTATATCAATTGTTAATAGTTTATTTACTAATTCAGTTTTTGTCTTGTCACCTTACCATAATGTTATATCCATGGTATTAGGTATCTTGTTTCTTCACTGCTACATTTCCAATACTAAACTGTGCCTAGTATGTAATAGAAACTCAATAAACATTTGTTGAATTTAGGAGTAAATTAACTGATTATTAATAGTTTTGCAGCCTGTATTGAATGATCCTTTATTCTACTATAGATTTTTAATGGCCTTTTAATTACATATAAAATAGTTTTTTTGTATTTTGCATCTAGACCCTATTTTTATCACATTATTTTTCTCTACATTTGTGCCTACATGCAGTTAAATCTATATTATTCTTGAACTTACAATATTAACAGAAATTGTTTTCAGTGTCTTAGAGCTGGATTGAAACAACTGTCATTGAAAATATGCCTTTTCCTGACTTTTTAAAATGCAACTTTTGGTTTTGTTTTTTTAAATATAAGGGGAAATATATTTTTGATATTGTATCCATGTATACCATTAAGTAGAAGATAACTCAGTCCCTGAAGTCATTGATATAAAATAGCTCATGAGGCAAGTGTGTTTCCATTTATCTGAAATATAATCACCTTACTTCATTCTTTTTTCTATTAATATTAGTTGTTTTAATCATTTAAAAAGGAAGATTTCATTATTATAAATAAATGATAACTAAATATCTTTATTATTCACTAGCTATATATATAGGTGTGTTTGTGTGTTTATACATGCATGTCCAAAAATTATGCCATTAATTGATAGCTGTGACTATACTAAGTAAAGGAGAAAAGAGCCACACAAGAATGATAAACTGAAAAAATCCAGTGAACGCAGTTTCAGTTCCAAAATATTATGACTAATATAGTATGAAAATATTATTTTTTTATTTTTGAGTTTAGATATTTGATATCATAGGAAATGGAAAGGTCAATAAAGCTAATATGAGCCATAGAAATAGAATGTGTGTGTATGTGTGTGTTCAGATGAATATTTCAAATACCTTGGAAAAGTACGAGTAATTGAAGGACTTCTCTTATACTAAAAACGATATATATTAAATATAATGATGATAACCTGAACGTCTTTGTTCTTTAAATATTCTGCCTAGAGAAAAGTCGGGTGCCTGTCTCAGTTCCAACAATAGCTGTACGGTACTAGTAACTGCCTTATGTGCACCCATACGTGGGGAACCGTCAAAACCATCAAACCTTGAAATTTTTTACTCCTACTGATCTTATTATTCTGTTTAATCTTTTAAGCATTTTTATTCTTCTGAGAGTAATAAATGCATATAGTTTAAAAAGTCAACTAGTCCTACAAGGCTATAATAGATTATTAGAACTCTCTTGCCTCACTTATCCCATTCTGACTCCCTACAGACAAATGTTTTCATCTATTTTTAAAATATTTTTTCTGTTTATTTCAATATTTAAAAATTGTATCTTTTACTGCTATTTTTGAAGTATGAACTTCAGAAATTATCTACTGACTCCATTTTATGAAAATCGAATAATTATTAATCTTAATTACTACTCTTGTTTCTTTCCCCCATCCTTCTAAATTAATGCTATGAGTTTTATTAAATCAATATTTTTGCTGTATTATGAAAAGCTATGTAAATATTGTATGAGTCTTTTACCATGATTACATTTCCTTTCTGCTCTTCCTATGGATAATAATTGCCTTAAAAGATTGTGTATTTCCAGATATATGTATCACATAATTTTCCAAACTTACCAAAAGAGATGTGATCTCACTTTTATATAACTTACCACTTTCTCAAACATTTTATGAAATCACTTAATTAAATTTTCATCAAGACCTCTCTTCTGAGTCCTCTTGGTTCTCTTAGTTCAGTCTGGATAGACTGAGTTCCAAGCCTGCTACAGAATCATTGTGCTGAGGGCTTTTCACTCTCTACTAGATTTCTCTTTACCACTCATTTATGGCAAACACACTGCTGGATCCAGTGTATTTTCTTTTTTAATTTAATTTGTCATATTTGGGAAACATATGTTCTAGTAGCTTCTTGAAATGAGGTGTAAGGTAGGTAAATTTTTTTAGCTCTTCTTCTCATTTTGAAAATTCCTTCCTCTGTGCCCTCTCCTCTTACTTTGCTGAATTACAGAATTTTTCGGTTGATGTGGTTTTTCAGAATTTTCATGGCTTTATTATAGTCTATCTTCTAATGTTAGAGAATTTGCATCCACATCCTTTTGTATATAAATTGTTATTTTATGCATTTTTTTAAAAATAAAATTTTCCTTATCCCACTATGCTAAAATTTTACTAAAATGTACACTCATGTGAGCCTGTTTAATTTTTTTCTAAGTAATTAATGATTTCATTACATTTATTAAAATATTTATTACATCTTTGTTGTGGTAAAATTGGCAAATAAAAATTGCATATACTTAAGGTGTACAATAGGATAATTTGATATAGGTATACATTGTATAATGATGACCACATCAAATTAGTGAAAACATCCATCATCATCTTTAGTTACCATTTTGTGTGTGGAGGGGGGTGGTCGGGGGAGCGTAGTGAGGACACGTAAAATCTGCTTTCTTATCAAAATGTTTTTGAATTTTTTTTTTTGGAAACTTTTCTTCATGTATTCCTTTCTTTGGATTCTTCTTAAATCAATCTTTTTCCTATGTGCTTTATATTATCCATATTTTTTTTTACTTTGGTTTCATTTTTGGAGGTTTTCTTAACTTGAGCTTCTAACAATTCTAACATTGTTTCCTATGATGAATACTTCACTTCTGCAAATTATGTTTCTCTTGCTTCCTATTTTTTAATTGCATCCTTTTCTGTTCCAGGGAATGAATCATCTACTCTGCAGTGGTAATGAACAGAGAGGTTCATTTTCAGATTGGCTTATTTTATATGGTAATATGTATTTAAGTTTGTTCCATATATTTTCTTGGCTTGATAACTCATTTATGTTTAACACCAAATAATATTCCAATCTCTGGATGTTTCAAAGCTTATCCATTCACATATTGAAAGACATCTTGGTTGTTTCTAAGTTTTGGCAACTATAAATAAAGCTGCTTTATACATTCATGTGAAGGTTTTTATGTGGACATAAGTTTTCACTTTATTTGGGTAAATGCCAAGGAATGTGACTGCTGGATCATATGGTAAGAGTATGTTTAGTGTTGTAAGAACCTACCAAGCCGTCTGCCAAAGTCACTGTAGCATTTTGCATTCCCAGAAAAATGAATGAGAGTTCCTGTTGCTCCACATTCTCCTCAGCATTTGGTGTAGTCAGTATTTTAGATTTTATCCTTTCTAACAAGTAGATAGTTGTATCTCATTGTTGTTTTAATTTGCAATTCCCCAGTGACATCTGATATTGAGCATCTTTTCATGTGATCAGTTGCCATTTTTATGTCTTCTTTGGTAAGGTGTTTATTTACTCTTCTGCCCATTTTTCAAATTTAAGCTATTTGTTTCCTTATTGTTGAGTTTTGAGAGTTCTTTACATATTTTGAATAGTACTTTCTAAGATATATCTTTTATAAATGTTTTCACACAATCTGTGGCCAGTCTTCTCGTTCCCTTCACAATTTATTTTGCAGAGCAGCTCTATCCACTTTTCATCATCCAAAAATATATTGACTTTCTTCATTTTCTTTGGTACCATGATACAGAAATAGATATATAGGCATACATGTATAGTTATATGTCCGGTATATATATTATATAGAATAATGTAATATATGTATAGTAACATATATACAAATTTATTGATCTTAGTTAATTCTTACCCCTGATAACCCATTCTAAAATTCTTAAACTTCCCCTGAGCATTTATCAGAGTATCACATTCTTTGTCCTATTTTCTTTATAAAATTTATCACTATCTAGCTAACTTTTCCTTACTGCTTTATTAACCCCCATGAGAGCAGGAACTTTGTCTCTCTTGCATATGCAAGAGTTCTTGCCACACTTGCTTACTCAATGCTTTTTGTTGAATTAGTAAATGTAGAGATAGTTTCCAAATTTGCTTACTGTATATAATTTTATGAGAGTTTTTCTTTTTTTTCTTTTATAGTCATCTGAAATAGTGATATTTCATTTAAACCAATTTAAATATAAGACAAACATTACTAATTATTGGGTACCAACTTTATCACTGATTATACACTAAAATTACAAATATTAAAGTTTTGCTGAACAAATTTGCATTTAGTCAATAAATATATATTGTGCAAAGGAGTAGGATAATGGTTTGGGGAGATTCATAATATAATCAATCATATTACCTGTCATCAAGAAACTCATAAGTTTAAGAATAATAATGCATGCACATGAATACCTAGAATATAAGGCAGAAAATATCTATGATAATGGGATGATACCTACAATGTAGTAGCATTCAGAAGTAAAAGTCTTTACTTCTACATATAATTCATGCTTGCTAAATTCTGCCAAAAATTGTGCTTGCTAAAGAAATATATTTCACTTCAGTTCTCCCTGTTTCACAGTTATAATTTTGTATACAAATGAGAACTCTTAGTTACATAGACTGTCAGAATTAAACTGACTTCTGTTTCTTTGTATTCATAATTATAATATTATCACTTAATTTGAATCTAGTGTTTATATCCAGGAAAATTACTACCATTTTGCCCAAAGCAAGCTCAAGCCTACTGAATAATTACTTACATACATATTCTTGAAAGTGAATCCGTTTCTTTGAGTCCATACCTGTTTTGGCTGATTAAATAATTGGGACTTATATGAATTAACTCTATATAGAAAACAATGTTCATTATAGGATAATAAAACAGTGTTAATTTACAGCTTACATATACAGTATGAAAACCCAATCATAACTGCAGCAGCTATTTAGAATTTAGACCAAGTGGAGTTTTTTAATAAAGGAGTATTTTATTTCAGACATCATTTAGAATTGCTTAAATAGGTGATAATAAATATCAAATGGACTTCTGTTAGATTTTATTTTTTAATAATTGCCTACAGATAATAAACTCAACACTCTTCCTCATACCTCACTGCCTCATCCAGGGAACACTGCCTGCACCTGGCCCTAAGTATGCCATTGAACTTCCTGTAGGTGAAGAGAAGAAAGGCCAAATCATTGAGGTATTTTGAAAAAATCAAAATATGGTAAATAGAATGGTAATATTAAGGGATAAAGCATGGAAGTGTGTTCAATGGACATGGGGAAACAATGGAAGCTTTTAAACAGGGCAATACATAGAGAAGTAGCTTTAAATGACATATCTGATAGGAATGTGCAGGCTGTACTGGAGAAAGACACTGAAGAAAAAAGACTTTAGACATGGAGTTTATCAGAAGGAAATTAATATGATAGACAAGTAGAAATGAGAGTAAACAAAGTTATTAAGTAATCTGCATGCACAAAAACTAAAATATTGATACTAGGAATAAACAGAAGGTCATTAATATATGGCAGAAGGAGAGTGATATGGATTATCTATAAAAACAGTGACATTTATATAACATTACCTTTTTAATAAAGTCACTTGATTGATTGATGAGGCATATATGTTGAACTCTGTGCATCTGGGCTTCAACAAGCCATTTGTTATTTCTCGTAGTAGCTTTCTGGATAAGATAGAAAACTGAAGCAGGGCCACTTCTTTGCATCAATTTTGAATATGAAGAGGAATTACTTGCTAAAATAAAATGATATAAGTTTTCCAAAACAGTGATATCAGAAAAGTATTACTATAATCAGACTTTTATCCAAGATTTTAATAATAATATTCCAAGAAAATATAAATAGGCTTCCTAATTTAAAATTTGCAATATACCCAATGCTTTCAATGTAAACACAGATATTATAGCTGTTCAAGAAAATCTAAAGATACTTAGAGAATCTGAGGGTTTTGTCAATAAATTCTCTAATGAGTTCATATTATCAAAATACACAGTATAACAAAAACTAAGCTTAGAAAACCTGTAAGGAGAGCAACATTAATTCTAAAGCCCAAGATGAACTGAGGCTTGACAAAATGGTAAGAAGAAAAAGGGTGTTTTGACTTTTTTTCCCCTAACAATACTCTGCCTAACCTATAATCTTTTGGGCTATATGTTTGGTCAATAATGATTTAATCTCGATGGCTAAAGGATATTGTTCCCTACCAATGCACAAGCACATCAATTCATTTTGATGACAGATTTCAATAACTCCAGTGAAGAGTAGAGCTGCATGTTATTGACATTATCATTAGTCATTCAGAAATAGCTCAGGCAAAGTTGTCATTATCTAAGACTGCACAAATAGACCAGTGACCTGTGGTCTTTTCCAAATCAAACTGCATATACGTCACTCTTCATACTACCATTCTCTTCTATTTCTGTCTTTAACCTGGCTATCCTAGCTGACATATTTCAGCTATTTGACTTGTCCATGCTACTTTATATTCAGTACTCACATATATGGATTTAAGATGTTTAAAAACATGTTTGTGTGTGTTATCATCAGATTTTCAGCACACATATTTTGTGCAAAACATTGGTTCAGTGCTTTGAAATATATAGATAAAACATAATATACCAATGTGGTCATGCCCACAAGCAGTTAAAAATGTAGTATAGGGAGAATGTCAGCAAGACAGTGGAATGGAATATTCCCTGGCATCATTCCTCCCACAAAAATACAACTAGAAACTATTCAAAGACAAAAATAACACCCTGAGTTCACCAGAATTTAGAGAGAAGCAAAGAAACCCACTGGGCTTACGGAATCAAGAGAAGCTACAATTGGCAAAAGAAATGGTCATTTCAGACTGTGCAGCCCTCTCCCATAAGCCAGCATAATGCCATTCACAGAGAATTTCCCTAGACCACAATTGCCAAGGTGAGAGGAGCAAATTGAAGGTGGGCGTTTGATCTCCTCACCAGTCTGGGAATCTTTGCAAGAAGCTCACTCTGGTCCTGTCCCACAGGAACCACTGAGAGTGTCAGGTGGGCTCAACCACCCCTGGTGAATTGAGAATGAAGAGCAGGGTACTGATCACAATGGCTGGCACTCATATTTTGGAGGCTATTCTGTGTTGCCATCAATAGCGTTGTCATAGTGAAGAGACTAGCACAGCAGGGGTCACAATTTGCAGGAAGGCCTGAATTCTTAACCAGCTTTTTTCACAAAGCCCATGTGTTCCCATGGTACCTTCCTCTAGTCTGGAAATAATTAAAAGGTTGGGATTAAGTTCAAGTCCCCGCTTAAGTATTCCCTGGTCTGGAAAACAAAGGCAAAACAGCAATAGAGTTCTGGGACAACATTCAGCTTTCAGTGCTCACTATAAGTCTTCCTCACATTGAGAAACAACATCAGTGCAGCAATTTAGTTCTGCAGTGATGTTTAAGTTCCAGTGTCCACTATAAGTCTCCCCCAGACCTGGAAATAATGGTAGGGAAACAAGTTAATTCCAGAGGAGTATTTTACTTATAGTGCTTACTTACAGTCCTCTCCAGAATGGTAGAAAACAACAAGCCAGCAATTAAGTTTCAATGTTATGTAGCAAAAGTCTAATACAGTGGTGTTAGACAACTGCAAAAACTGGAAGAGGTGAGTGTCTCTTCAAATGTGTAGGCCCCAGTTTAAAGACACAAGATTGGTGAAAGCTCAGGGAAACATAACATCACCAAAAGAAAGCAACAAAGCACCAAGAAGAGACCCAGAAGAATTGAAAGTCTATGAAATACTGAACAGAGAATTTAGAATAATCCTCTTAAAGAAGTTCAGGAAATCACAACAATGTGGGTAGAAACCTAAATAAAATTTGGAAAACAATCCAGGAAAAAAATGAGAAATTTTATAAACAAATAGAAACAATTTAATCCAAATAGAAAATGTAGACATATGGAATACAATAACTGAACTGAAAACTCATTAAAATGTTTCAACAGCAGACTCGATCAAACTGAGGAAAGAATTAGCAGCTTGAAGATAAAGCATGTAAAATTATTCAATCAGAGAAGCAAAAAGATAAAATAAAAAGAGTAAAGAAGGCCTATGAGAATTACGTGACACTATCAAATGAACTAATCTGTGCATAATAGGAATTTTCATAGGCAACAAGAGAGAAAAATGTCTAAAAAATTTGTATTAGAAATAATGGCTGAAAATTTCCTGAATCCGGAGAAAGACAACACCATATAGGTAAAGGAAGGTCAGAGGTCACAAATTAAATTCAAATCAAAGAGGAAATTCCTAAGGCAAATCATAAATAAATTTGCAAAAATCAAAGGAAAAGAAAAAATATTCAAGGCATCAAGAGAAAAGAAACATATTACATTAAACAGAGCCCCAATATAGTTTTGAGCAGATTTCTTAGCAGAAAACCTGCAGGCCAGGAGAGAATGGGATGCTATATTTACACTGCTGAAGGAAAAGAAAATGTCAACAAATATTGTACTCAGCATAGCTACGCTTCAAACACAAAGGAAAGATAAAGACTTTCCCAGACAAACAAAAGCTGAGGGAATTCACCAACACAAGAAATGCTAAAGAGAGTTCTTCATTGTAAGAAATGGATGCTAACATGTAACAAGAAAACATCTGAAGGTTAAACTCACTGGTACAAGAAAAGCAAATACAGAACACTCTAACCTATTATTCGGCTAAGTAAACCACTTATATTGAAAGTATGAAGACCGAAAGACAAACTATTAACCCATTTATTACTGACGGTGTAATTTTTTGAATTTTTGCAATCAGACCTAGGCAATGACCTTGAGCAGTAGGATATAAATAACTCCCACATGCTTAGTGTTCCAATAAGGAAACACTAGACATATGGATTAAAAACAATAATAACTATAATTGGTTAAGAAATAGGCAATATGAAAAGATGTAAATAAAGAAACTCATCATGCACCTCAAGGAATTAGATAAGCAAGAACAAACCAAACCCCAAATTAGTAGAAAGAAGAAATAACAAAGATCAGATCAGAAGTAAAAGAAATTGTGACAAAAAAATATAAAAGAGCTGCAAACTAAAAAGGTAGTGCTTTGAAAGATAAACAAAATTGACAAATCTTTAGCTAGACTAAGAGAAAAAGAGAGAAGACCCAAATAAATAAAATCATACATTAAAAAAGAGGCATTACAACTGATACCACAAAAATATTAGAAACTATTAGGTCATTAGAAACTATTATGAATAACTATAAGCTAACAAATTGGAAAACCTAGAGAAAATAGATAAATTCCTAGACATATACAACCTACCCAAGTAGAACTACGAAAAAATAGAAAACATGAACAGAACAATAATGAGTGACAAGATTGAAGCAGTAATAAAAAGTCTCCCATCAAAGAAAATCCCAGGACCTTATGGCTTCATTGCTGAAATCTACTAAACTCCCTTTTTTTTTCCATCTTTTTTTTCCTCCTTTTTTTAAATTACACTTTAATTTCTGGGGTACATGTACAGAATGTGGAGTTTTGTTACACAGGTATACACATGCCATGGTGATTTCCTGCACCCATCAACCTGTCACCTACATTAGGTATTTCTCCTAATGTTATCCCTCCCCTAGCCCCCAACCCACCAACATGGATGAAGCTGGAAACCATCATTCTCAGCAAACTATCACAAGAACAGAAAACCAAACACCGCATGTTCTCACTCATAAGTGGGAGTTGAAAAATGAGAACACATTGACATAAGAAGGGGAACATCTATCAAACTCTTAAAGAAGAGCCCAGACCAATTCTACTCAAACTCTTTTAAAAAAAAGTGAAGAGGAGAAAACACTTGCAAATTCACTCTATAAGGCCAGCATTAGTGTGACACCAAAACGAAATCAAGGACACAATCTAAAAAGGAAATTATAGGCCAATATCTTGATGAACATAGATGTAAAAATTCTCAACAAAATACTAGCAAACCAAATTCAACAACACATTAAAAAGATCATTCATCATGATCAAGTGGGATTCATCTCAGGGATGCAAGGATGCTTCAACATATGCAAACAAATAAATAGGAAACAAAACTATATGTTTATTTCAATAGATATTGAAAAAGCATTCAATAAAACTTAATACTCTTTCGTGACAAAAAATCCCAACAAACTGCATATAGAACTAGCATACTTCAACACAATCAAGCCTGTATATGACAAACCCATAGCTAACATCATACTGATAAAAAACTGAAAGCTTTTCCTGTAGCACCTGGAACAAAAATGTCCACTTTACACATTTATTCAATATAGTACTGAAAGTACTAACCAGAGCTAATAGGCAAGGGAAGCGAAGAGAGGGTATCAAAATTAGAAAAAAAGAAGTCAAATTATCATTGTTCACAGACAATATGATCCTATATTTGGAAAAAAAAAACAAACTGAGGACTCCACCAAAAAAACTGTTGGAACTGATAAAACAAGTTCAATAAAGTTGCAGAATACAAAAACAGGGTGCAAAATCAATAGCATTTCTATACACCAACAGTGAACTCATTTTTGAGAAAGGCACCAAGAATATACCTTTTGAAGAAAGACAGTCTCTACTATAAATGGTCCTGGGAAAACTGGATATTCACATGGACAAGAATAAAACTACATCCCTCTCACTACATACCAAAATCAAATCAAAATGCATTAAAAGCTTAAATGTCAGCGCTGAAACTATAAAACTACTAGAAGACCTCAAAAGCACTGTCAGCCAAAGCAAAATAGACAAATGGGATTCTGTCACGCTAACAAGCTCCCACACAACAAAGGAAATAATCGACAAGGTAGAGAAAGCCTACAGAATTAGAGAAAATATTTACAATCTATCCATCAGACAAAGGATTAATAATCAGAATATATAAGGAACTCAACTCCTCAATAACGAAGAAACAGATAATGCAAATAAAAATGGAAAATGATCTGAATAGACATTTCACAAAAGACAGCATACAAACAGCCAACAGGTATATGAAAACATACTCAACATCACTAATCAACAGGAAAATGTAAATCAAAACCACAATAAGGTATCAGCTCACTCAATTAGAATGGCTATCCTCAAAAACAGAAAAAATAACAAATGCTTTCCAGAATGCAGAGAAAGGGAAATCTCAGTATACTGTTGGTGGAAATGTAAGCTAGTATAGCCACTATAGAAAACAGTAGGTGGTTTCTTAACTAGCTAAAAATAGATATACTATGTGATGCAGCAATCCTACTGCTGAGTATTTATCCAAAAGAAAAGAAGTCAGTATATGGAAGAGATGTATATAGTACCATGTATATTGCAGCACTATTTCCCATTGCCAAAATATGATATCAACCTAATAATTCATTAATGGATAAATGAATAGAGAAAATGTGGTACATATACAGAATGGAATATTATTCAGCTATAAAAAAGAATGGAATTTTGTCACTTGCACAACATGGAAAGAACTGTAGGACATTATGTTAAGTGAAATAAGCCAGGTACAGAAAACCTAATATTGTGTTTTCTCACTCAGTTGTGGAAGCTAGAAAAATGTTGATCTCTTGAAGGTAAAGAACACAATAATGGTTACTAGAGGCTGGAAGGGTAGTGGGGAGAAGGGAGGGAAGGGAGGTTGGTTAATAGTTATAAAAACACAGAAGGAATAAGTTCTAGCATTTGAGAGCACCATAAGATGACTATAGTTAACAATTTATTGCGTATATAAACATAGCTAGAAGAGAAGTTTTAGAATGTTCTAAAAGGTAATCAATGTTTGAGGCAATGGATATCCTAATTAACATGATTTGATCATTACACATTGTATGGATGTATCACATGTACTCCATAAATATATACAATTATTATGTATCAATAAAATATTTTTATAAGTAAAGTAATATTCCTCACCCTTAAGAAGATTTAAGTATATTTGTTTTGTTTTGTTTTGTTGTTTTGTTTTGTTTTTTGAGACAAGGTCTGTCACCCAGGCTGGAGGGCAGTGGTGCAGTCTTGGCTTACTGCAGCCATTACCTCCAGGCGCTCAAGCGATCCTTTCACCTCGGCTTCCGTAGCAGCTGGGACTGCAGGCACCCACAACCACACACCACCACGCTGAGTTAATTTTAGTATTTTTTTGACAGGATCTTGCCATGTTGCCCAGGCTGGTCTTGAAATCCTGGCTCCAGCGATTTGCTCACCTGTGGCTCCCAAAGTGCTGGGATTACAGGCATGAGCCACCATTCCCAGTGATTTAGGTATATTTTTTAAACTTCTTGCTGTATTCCTATCTTTTTGAGTTGAATATTTCTTTTATTTTCATTTTTATTGACCTAATTATTTTTATTTTATTTTAAGTTCCAGGGTACCTGTGCAGGACATGCAGGTTTGTTACATAGGTAGACATATGCCATGGTGGTTTGCTGCACCAATCAACCCAGCACCTAGGTATTAAGCCCGGCATGCATTAGCTATTTATCCTGATGCTTCCTGCTCCCAATTTCCCCGCACAGGCCCCAGTGTGTGATGTTCCCCTCCCAGTGTCCATGTGTTCTCATTTTTCAGCTCCCACTTATAAGTGAGAATATGTAGTGCTTGGTTTTCTCTTCCTGTGTTAGCTTGCTGAGGATAATGACTTCCAGATTCATCCATGTCCCTACAAAGGATATGATCTCGTTCCTTTTATGGCTGCATAGTATTCCATGGTGTATATGTACCACATTGTCCTTATCTAGTCTATCATTGATGGGCATTTGCATTGATTCCATGTGTATTTGTAATTTTTACATGATGATTACTTTATTCTTCATTTTAAAAAATTTTTATTTCATCACAAATTTTTATTTTCTCTCCCATTTCTCTTATATTTTTCATTGCAATGTTGTCCTGGAATTTCTGTCTGTTCATATCCTACATGTATGGATAGTCCTGAGCTTCCCAGCCTCAGCACCTTCTTGCTCTCAACTTTCCCTGGATTGACTTTTATAACTACGAGTTATGGTGACGACTCCTAAATCTTATCTCTGACATGGAGCTTTTCCCTTAACTTCAAGTCTATGCACCCAGTTGTCTGTTGAAATCTACCACAGGCATCTCAAACTCGGTGTGTCCAACAAGAAACATTTTTTTACACTCTACAAATCTACTCTCCTATACAATTTCAACTCCCTGTTGATGGCCGTACAATATCATAAAAAGCTCAACCTAAAAAAATAAAAACAACATTTAATCACAAATCTTCATTTTCTTAATTTCCTACATCCACTTCCTTACCAACATTGTTGAAATTACCTCTCACACATTCTTTAAATTGGTCTTTCTTCTATCTCCAGTGAAATTACCTTTGCATTGTGATTCTTTCTCCTCCAGATAATAACAAGTTCTGTGGCTCTATCATAGCCTATGACCACTCTGTCTTTCCTTCATACCCATTCTTAGCCTAAAACCTTTAGGATAAAGATAATTTCTTTTCCTTGGCTCACAGAGTTCTCCAGGATCTAGATCCGGGCATAATTTTTGGCCCCTCTGTTTTTGTACTTTATCATATGTTCGTACAGAATTACAGGCAGTCACTTTTATGCACTATGTTATGATGCACTTTGTTATAATGGAGAACATTTCCTTTTGCCACCCACAGGGAATTTTCTTCTTTAGCTTTCTTGAAAACCCCTACTTATCATAGGAGAGCTTGTTCCCTGAAGCTGTATGCCTTACCTTTCCAGTCAGACTTCGCTTTGTTTATTGCTTCCATTATGTACTACATGTTATCATACAGAATATTTAGTGTGGTGTTGTGAAGAGAGGTTTCCCCAGCATTTGCTCCCCAGAGCTTAGAGAGCTCAGCAGCACTGTATCTGGTGTACAATAGTTTCTCATTTATGATCTTTTTTGAAAGTACAAATGATAAATTCTACTGGATTTTTTTTTAATTAGTGAAATAAGCTAGTAAAACAGCCAGTCTTTGAGATCTAATCAGAACCACCTTCTCTGGAGAGATAGCAGAGGCAAATAGCTAAGTTAATTGAAATGGTTAACTAAATAAAATTAAGATAGAATCATGAAAAGACGATCAACAGTATTTTGCACAATGGCATTATTTTGGTGACAATTTCTAAGTGGTAACAAGCATGGAATGTTTATGACATTGAAATTAGAAGAAAAGTGAGACATCACTTTATACACACACACATATGCAAGTGCATTTTTAATATGTATCTACTGAGTATTTCAGTATTTTATAATGCATTGTATTATATAAAACTTTTTTGTTCAAATTTATGTATGTCAGCTGCTTCCAACTACTAGAGAAAATAGACTTATAAGGAGAATGTGGAAAGGAGGGAGGCAATAATATTCTGGTAGCGATTCAGTGGCTGAGCCAGCTGATGCTCAGCTATTTAGAAAGAGAACAACTCTTGAAGAGGGTTGTGAATTAGGCTGGCTGAAACTCAACAATTCTGGGGGGATAAAAACAGATTTAGCCAAGAGGAAGTAAAGGACTGAGTACTGTTAAAGACTTAATGAAACAGATGGCCCATTGTTTTGCAATGGAGCCACTACAATCAAGTCTGTTTTTAACCCATTTTAAAGACTCCTGTATATTGATGTTTCAAAAGTATACTCTAATCCCAGAGAATCTATCGAGCAATAGTATTTTTGTCCTGAACAGCTGAGTGATAGTCATGAACTAAACACTGCCTAGAAGAATAAAATTGCAAGGGGTTCTGAATTTTTAAAAAAAATCTGAGATACTTTAATTTCTATCTTGAATAATTTCCTGATAAAAGAATGTGCAATGGCAGAGTGGGAAAATATAATATCAATTAGTGGTCACCAATTTCCATATTGATAAAACTGAAATAAACACAAATTATGATATCTTTAATCACTGAGAATAAACAAGGATATTAATGATGCATCATTTTATAACTCATTTATTATACAAAAACTACAAGAGTAGTTTGGACAGATCAAATTCTGACTAATAGTCCCTTCACAAGGAGGGCATATATTTCTCAGTTTGGATAAGAAAATCAAGCTGACATTTGCCTGCTACAGTTAGGAAATATATTAACAGCTCATTTTTGGTTCAGAATAGTTTTGCTATGTTTCTAAATTTTCTTTTCACTTGCCTTAAAATGTTAATTTTTTTTTTTTTTTGGTAGGGGTAAGCCATTTTATTGAGGGACTTCTGGAGGAGTAGTTTGAAGAACGGCTGAGGAGAACAATGAGATCAAAGGTCTTCCTTGGATCAGGATTTCCCTAGCCTCTAAGTCACTGAAACCAAAATTGTAATTATTTTTAAAACAAGTTTTGGGCCGGGCGTGGTGGCTCACGCCTGTCATCCCAGCACTTTGGGAGGCTGAAGCAGGTGGATCACAAGGTCAGGAGTTCGAGACCAGCCTGACCAACATGGTGAAACCCCGTCTCTACTAAAAATACAAAAGTTAGCCGGGCATGGTGGTGGGTGCCTGTAATCCCAGCTACTCGGGAGGCTGAGGCAGGAGAATTGCTTGAATCCAGTAGGCAGAGGTTGCAGTGAGCCAAGATTGCGCCACTGTACTCCAGCCCAATAGAGCAAGACTCTGTCTTGAAAAAAAACAAAAAAGAAAAAAACAGAAAAAGCAAGTTTTATATTATCATATTTAAATAACTATTGTTGAGTTACTAATTTTAAACATGCTATTTATGAACTCATTTGTTTATTCACTCAAGCATTTTTTCTTCCTGAAATAAGTGGTAGAATCAAGGACTAGTTATTTCCTTTGCCTTGAATATCCACCACACATTTTTCTCTATTAATACAGTAACACAAAATACATTAGTGAATTATTTGTCACCTTTAGATACAAGGAAAAGTGTTTCCAGGAAGTAGAGTATTGGCATTGTTTCAATAATGGAATTGCCTCCCTGTTCACTGTTCTGTATCTCTCTTCCTGTTTAGGATTTTTTAAATGGGGTCACCTATGCTGATTATCTGTACTTTTTCACATATCATTTTTTATTTTGAACTATCTTGATTTTGCCCCAGTTACTATTTTAAATTTGTTTGACTTGGTTCCTAATTTATTTAATTATGAAAAACACGTTTCTTTTCAAATATCTTCTTGTTTGAAATATCTGCTGCATTTCTATTTGTTCCTCATTCTCATGTCTTTTCAAGTGGGAAGAAGTGTAGCCCCATTGGAAGGTTTAGCCACCTCACCTTTCCTGAGCCAGCAAAGTACCTCCAGTGCTGGGTAATTATTATCATTACCTGCCAATGATGATAACTCCCTATCCTTTAAGTCGCTGAAACCAAAAATCTTAATTTTACCCAGCACAGGAGGTACTCTGCTGGCTCAGGAAAGGTGAGGGGCTAAACAGAGCTC
Organism: Homo sapiens; assembly: GCF_000001405.40. Classification (NCBI taxonomy): domain Eukaryota; kingdom Metazoa; phylum Chordata; class Mammalia; order Primates; family Hominidae; genus Homo; species Homo sapiens. Next base: position 130,157,011 of record NC_000004.12, read on the forward strand.
AGGACTCTGTGATTAGTTCTCCCTATTTAGAGCTGTTGGGATTAACACCCTAAATTTATCTCTTGGCAGCCCTAACTTTAATCTACACAAGAATCCCTTTGGGATTGTTTAAAATGTAGATTCATAAACTCTTGTGGATTGAAAGTCTGAAAGTGATGATGCCAATAAATCTACATTTTAACAAGCATCTTCAAGTGATTATGATTTGCCTACTTGGAAGCTACTCAGAAAACAAACAAATTAGTGATAAGATAGTAACTAAGAAGCTTCACAAAAACTATGACATTTGCAGTTGCTTGTTGTCAAATATCACTTGTCTTTTTTATTTCTTACTGCTAACTCCCATTTGAAAACATGTGCATCTAGTGTTGAACCATGACTAAGTCAAGTCTGCTGCCATTTTGCTAACTTCTCATCTTGTTTATTGCATCATTTAAAATACTTTGAGCTGGAGGTAAGAGAATGTCTGACTATAAGTGGCTTAAACAGCAAGGATATTTGTTAACCCTGATGGCAAAACATCATGAGGTTGCGGTATCAGGGCTAGTTCAGTGGCTCAATAATGTTATGAAAAACCTAAGTTCTTAGGCCTTTTTGCTATTTCATAAATATGCTGATTTAAGCCCTTAAAGTTACAAGATAGGAAGTTAGGAAGTCGTGAACAGTACTTAGGGCATCGTGTTCTTAAACAACTGTGTCAAAAGGCAGGAAAAGGGAGAGGAACCTTTGCGTTATGTTCATTTCTCTTTTTATCAGGAGAACATTGTTTTTTTCTTTTTTTTTTCAAAAGCACCTCAGTGGACTTCCTCATATGCCTGAATTTCCAAAATCATTCTACATGGTCACCACAACTTAATCAGTGTGGGAATATCAAGATTATTTTTATATCAGAGGCTAGAGGAGGATCCCACGTCCCCTGAGTAAAATTGTACACAAACATAAAATAATTAAAAATCAATGTTCTACTTATGATTTTGTGACACTTGATAAATAATATTTAAAATTGATTTGTTGTTATAGGTAATTATAACTATGTAGATAGTTAAATTAACAAATTAATTAATAATTAATATTATCTAGGAGTCTGGACTTTATACATTAAAATTGCCATCAAAATTTTAAATGAGTCTTCTCAATGGGAAAATGGTATTTACCTTACTATATTGGACAATGACATATGGTCAATGTGATGATTAATTTTATGTATCCATTTGACTGGATAAGGGGTGCTCAGATATTTGGCTAAAAGTTATTCCTGGGTGTGTGTGCAAGGTGATGCTGGATGTGATTAGCATTTGCACTGGTATACTGAATAAAGCAAATGGCCCTCCTCAATGAGGATGAGTATCATGCAATTCACTGAGGTCCTGAATAGAACAAAAAGATGGAAGAAGGGACAATTTGCTCTCTCTGCCTGACTGCTGAGCTGAAATATTATTATTCTCCTGCCCTCGAATTAGAACTTACATCAGTTCTCAGAACTACACCATTGGTTTTCCTAGGTCTCCAGATTATAGATGACAGATTGTGGTACTTCTCAGCCTACATAAACACATGAGCCAATAATAAATCTCTATGTATTATAGCTCTATCTCTCTATCTATCTACTATTATTAATAGTTCTATTTCTCTGAAAAAACCCTGACTAAAACAGTCAAAATTGTTATATGTCCCTTGTGTTATATGTCACTTATATTGAAAGTCTTTCTGAGTTGACATATTGGCAATACTTAGATGCTTTTTCATAAAACTCTTCATTTGTTTATATAATCAACCTTATTCCCTAGTTCTCCTTCCATTTATCTCACTAAATCTATGAATAATCTCAAACATGTTGCAGATTTCAAAGTTTTTTCTCAGTCCTATTTGTTTTCTAGTTATTTCAGAGGCATTTGAAATGGAACAACTCCATCTTAAATAGGGACTGGGTAAAATGAGGCTGTGAACTACGGGCCTGCATCCATAGATGATTAAGGTATTCTAAGTCACAGGATGAGATAGGAGGTTGGTGCAAGACACAGGTCATAAAGACCAACCAAAACCAAGATGGCAATGAGAGTGACCCCTGGTCGTCCTCACTGCCACACTCCTGCTAGCACTGTGACAGTTTACAAATGCCATGGCAACATCAGGAAGTTACCCTATATATCTAAAAAGGGGAGGCATGAATAATCCACCCGTTGGTTTAGGATATAATCAAGAAAATGGGCAGGCAACCTACAGAAAGGTAGACAATCTTTGCAATCTATTCATCTGACAAAGGGCTAATATCCAGAATCTACAAAAAACTTGAATAAATTTACAAGAAAAAAACAAACAAACCCATCAAAAAGTGGGTGAAGGATATGAACAGACACTTCTCAAAAGAAGACATTTATGTGGCCAACAAACATGAAAAAAAGCGCATCGTCACTGGTCATTAGAGAAATGCAAATCAAAACCACAATGAGATACCATCTCATGCCAGTTAGAATGGAGATGTCTAAAAAGTCGGGAAACAACAGATGCTGGAGAAGATGTGGAGAAATAGGAATGCTTTCACACTGTTGGTGGGAGTGTAAATTAGTTCACATTGTGGAAGACAGTGACGATTCCTCAAGGATCTAGAACCAGAAATACCATTTAATCCAGCAATCCCATTACTGGGTATATACCCAAATGATTATAAATCATTCTACTATAAAGGCACATGCACATGTATGTTTATTGCAGGACTATTCACAATAGCAAAGACTTGGAACCAACCTAAATGCCCATCAGTGATAGACTGGATAAAGAAAATGTGTCACATATACACCATGGAGTACTATGTAGCCATGAAAAAGGATGAGTTCATGTCCTTTGCAGGGACATGGATGAAGCTGGAAACCATCATTCTCAGCAAACTAACACAGGAACAGAAAACCAAACACTGCATGTTCTCACTCATAAGTGGGAGTTGAACAATGAGAACACATGGACACAGGGAGGGGAACATCACACTCTGGGGCCTGTCGGTGGGTGCAGGGCTAGGAGAGGGATAACATTAGGAGGAATACCTAATGTAGATGACAGGTTGATGGATGCAGCAAACCACCATGGCACATGTATACCTATAGAACAAACCTACACATTCTGCACATGTATCCCAGAACTTAAAATATAACTAAAAAGAGGGGGGCAACCAACTGCCCTCTGGGCTGCTCTGTCTATGAAGTAGCCTTTCTTTTATTCCTTTTCTTTCTTAATAAACTTGCTTTCCTTTTCCTCTCCAACTCGCCCTGAATTCTTTCTTGGGTGAAATCCAAGAACCCTCTCTTGGGGTCTGGATGAGGACCCCTTTTTGGTAGCAGTTATAAATGCTCTCTAGGAATTTCATTTCATTACATTATTCAACCACTCAACTATGAGAAGGATTTCAAAATCTGTTACTCTAGTGATCTCTCTTCCATATTTTCACTTAGTGGTTATAAAAACATACTTCAAACTTAAATTTGTCCAGATCAGGGACCAGGCTTTCATCCCAATGCTCTCACCCAAATTTCCATCAGTTTCAGGGAACCATGAATATGGTTCTTTAATTACTATGGTCATTGAAACTAACATTCTTGGGAAACTCACTCTAGTGAGAATATACTACCCTTGTTAGTGGGGGTAAAGAAAACCTAAGAATATTTTATCAGTGCCATTAAGTATTTCCAAGTCTCAAAAGGGATATAATCTATACCTGTAATAATTGTAATAAAAGTTATACATGAGGCCAGGCACAGTGGCTCACGCCTGTAATTCCAGCACTTTGGGAGGCCGAGGAAGGCAGGATCATGAGGTCAAGAGATTGAGACCATCCTGGCCAACATGGTGAAATCCCATCTCTACTAAAAATACAAAATTAGCTGGGCATGGTGGTGCACACCTGTAGTCCCAGCTACTTGGAAGGCTGAGGCAGGAGAATTGCTTGAACCTGGGAGGCGGAGGTTGCAGTGAGCTGAGATTGCACCACTGTACTCCAGCCTGGAGACAGAGCAAGACTCTGTCTCAAAAAAAAAAAAAAAAAAAAAAAGTATACACACAACTATTTGGAGTTATATTCAATGCTTTTCTTTTTGTTGCATTCCACATCCACCAAATTAGCATATTCTTTTTATTAATGGACATTTTCCTATAAAAAAATAAAATTCAGGGTCAAATTGTTTCTCAAGACCTTTACCACTTCCACTAGGCAAAACCCACCATCATTTTTAACAGAGTATTGTAACAGACTCTTCACTAGTCTCGCTGTTTTCAACACACACACACACACACACACACACACACACACACACACCATACAGCAACTAAAGTGAACATCTGCTCAAAATCCAATGATCTCTACTCTCTCTCAAAGTAAAAGTAGGAGTTAGGAGTCTTTATAGTGGCCCGAACACTTTACATGAATTGCACCTTCTCCCTCTTCTCAAACTCAACTTCTAACTCTGCCTTGATTACACTGCTCTAGCCACATAGGATATCTGTCATTTGGGCTTCATATTTGCTCTTTTCTCAGTTTGGAAAGCCCTTTCCCCAGATATTCCCAAGCCTTTCTTTCTAGATTCCTTTAGATCTTTGCTTAAAAGATGCCTTAACAAAAACTTTCTATGACCTACATATATAAAATAATAAAGCCCCCATTTAGCACTTTCGAGGAAAAAAACTCAGATGATATGATATTTGGACATGTATTGGAATTTGTCTCATTTAGCAGCTGTAACATCTCTGAGTTGGGTATTATTGACCTCAGTAATAGAGAGAAAGAGAGGGTAGATTTCTTTTTATTTATTTATTTATTTATTTGAGATGGAGTGTTGCTCTTGTTACCCAGGCTGGAGTGCAATGGCACGATCTCCGCTCACCGTAACCTCCGTCTCCCAGGTTCAAGCAATTCTCCTGCCTCAGTCTCCCAAGTAGCTGGGATTACAGGCATGCATCACCATGCCCAGCTAATTTTGTATTTTTAGTAGAGATGGGGTTTCTCCATGTTGGTCAGGCTGGTCTTGAACTCCCGACCTCAGGTGATCCGCCCACCTTGGCCTCCCAAAGTGCTGGGATTACAAGCATGAGCCACCATGCCCAGCCAAGAGAGGGTAGATTTCTGCTACAGTGACTCAGAAATGTCTTGAGGAAAGTGTGTGGAAACTAAATGTAGATATGATCTAGATAAAGGAAATAATGGGCTGGGTCATTCCAGGTGGAAGGGGCAGAGTCTATAAAAGTGTGGCTTTAGAGAAAGCCATAGGTTAAGAGTGAAAGAAATTCAAGTCTTCTTTATCACACATTGGACTTCTCATTTGGTCAGAATCCAGTGTTAAAAAGCCTAGAGAGGGGGTACAATTTATGGGGGGGCTGAGAGTGGGATTATCCATCACCTTAAGCATTGATCATTTCTTTGCATTACAAGCATTCTAGGTATGCTCTTTTAGTTATTTTGAACTGCACAATAAATTATTACTGATTGTAGCCACCTGTATCAAATACAGGAATAGGCTGCATTGATAAGGATATTGGTCCTAATCCACAGGTAGTGAGTAGACATTGCAAATCTCTACAAAGAATAACTCTGGTTCTAAAATATGCATGTTGTTTTCCCATATAATATATACTTTAATCATTATAATAATATTGAGAGACAATAATTATTTTTATTTTAAGATGAGAAAAGCCAATATTATAGAAATGAAATAATGCTCCCCAGTTACACTGAGACAGAGCTGAGATTCCATCCCTTATGCATCAGGATGTTTTTTATCTTGTCATGGCAAGATAACAGCGTAAAGAGTGATTAGAGTGAAAAGAGACTAAAAGAAGAGTAAGGACACTTGCCGGGAAGGCATTGCAATAGCCTATGTTAGAAAGGATGAAAGATTCAATGAAAACTGAGTTAGCATAATGAAATGTTGTTTCTGCAATTATTAAAAGTGAACAATTTATCTGCTATTAAGTTTGGTTTTGAAGCATATTGGAAAATACTGGTGATAATAGATATTCGATGATTTGATTTCAACCTAATGAGAATGTACAAGGTTATTCATAATATTAACATAATTTAAAGTTGTGAAATGGTTATAGTATTTATATTAGTCACATAAAAGCAACTTTAGGAAGAATTTTATATTACAGAGTAGTAAAAATTGAATATGCTAATTACACAGATCTGATCACTATACATTTTATGTATTAAAACATCACTATATACCTCATAAATATGTACATTTATTATATTATTTCAATTTAAAAGTAAAATTCAAAGATACAAAACTGTATATATCACTGGGTTTCCTTTGGTTCACACACTAAAACTATAGTACCAATTTTCATGCAAATCACATTCTAAGATGTGTTTTTTTTCTATCATTAGCACTTTAATAACATCATAAGCAGTTTATTTCAAAAGCTCCTTTTATCCAAAGAACTCAAAGTTATCATAAGCATTAATTACTTTTAAAAGTCTCTGAGGGATAGAATCATTTATGCAAGCTTCTCTCATAGGATCACTTATAGGTAATGGTGTTAAAGAACAATACACCTGCTAATCAGACAGTTTGAAGCACACAATTAATATAAGTCTCAATAAAATTGAATGCTAATAGAGAATTTTATTTTATGGTGTCAATTTTTCACCATCCACAAAGTCTTCATAAACCCTTCTTTAGAATTATAAAGAAAATCTCTAATAAGACTTGCCAAGGATCAGATGCACATTTTCCTTATAATCAATAAAGTGTAAGCTTTTGGCTTCCTCACTTGAACATCTGCTTCAATGGCCTTGAGAAGGGCCTATAAATGTGTTGTCCACAGGGACATAGGCAAATCCTACCCAAGTCTATGATGTATGTGGCTAATAAAACACCTTTGACATGCCTCCCTGGGTAGATGAGTTGACATTTGTGGCCACAGTTTGAAAAAGAAGTTTACACTACCTCACTTGTATCATGAGCAAGCATACATTTCAGCCAAAAATATTAAACGAGAGTTTGCTCATGAGAGCAACATTAGAGAACATTATATAGGGAGGTAAAACAAGGAAATAATGAATTGTTTTGGCTTTCCCAGTATAGTTGGAAAATGTTTTCCTTCTGGTAAAATAATTTTAAGCTCTACATGTTCTATTGTTGAACTATTTATTTAATTTTGTCGTAAAAGCAATATCGGAGGAGATATTGTGAATCTTTCCAATGTAACTATATATCCACTAGTTACCAATTTCTAACCTAATAAAAATCTTACAAGAACAGGAGGAATGGGATGAATTAAAAAATTAAGGCTAATTTTCCTTCATAAGGGAAAAATTAATAGTAATGGATAATTTATAATCCTGTGCAATATGGACATTTTATATGGAAAATAGAGAAAAGACAGAGTACATACATTGCTCCCCTGTCCACATGCCCTGCACATTTGACAGTGGATCTTTCTCTTCCTACTCCAAAATGATTGGACCAGGGATGGGCATCAAATTCTGGCACAGGATCAGGAACTTGCATGAAATGTCTACAGTGAATTGAGAATTAGAACCAGGAGACAAAGAAATTAAAAAAACACATGATGGGCAAAGAAGAACTAGAATACATGGGTCGCTGTGAATAGAATTTTCTGTGATGATGGAAATATGGCTGTTGGTAACTTAAAATGTGACTAATGATATAGATAAATTGATTATTTTCTCTTATTTAATTAGTTTAAGTTCAAATAGTTATGTGTGACTAGTGGCTACCTCATTGGATAGCAAAAAATCTGGAAGATCACAGTAGTAGTTAAGATGGGTAGCTCTGTTTAGTTATGTGTACATTGGGAAAACGAGATCAACTGAAGGAGAATATAGCTGATATGAAGAAAAAAATTAGAGAGGAGAGAAACCACATGGTTATGGAAGGACAGAAAATATAATTTCGGGTTTTGATTTTTAGTTGCCATTTGCATGTGACCCAGCTCTTCTTTGCCCCATTGATGGGTTTGATTAGAAACCTGTTCTCTATGTTCTCTCCCATTAAACCCCTTTTATACTTTGAATTAATTTATATGGATTACTTTCAAACAGGTTTGACTTGGAGAAGGAACCACACAAAAAATGGTAAAATACCAAGAAAATCATGGAAACAAGGCCAGCCCAGCATTCCCTACACAGTTCCTGTTTTACTCCAGCAGAATGTAGTAGGTGGAACTTGAGTTCATATGTTGTGCACACCTAGGCTGACATCTTAAGCTCAGTCAGTAAGTTATGTGAATTTAGGAAGATAATTAAAAAATCTGTTAGCATCACTTTGTCACCTTTAAAGTGAGATGTAGAGCAATCAATAGCAACACCAACTTCACAGAGATGTTAGTGCTAGATATAATCATGCTTATATAGAATTTGTTACAGTGACTGGCACACAGTGGCTAGTTTACTTTCCCCCTGTCAACCACTGCCCCTGCGCAGAGCCTGCTATGCTAAGGTGATATCATTGATCACAATTCTTTTCACACATAACTGTCATCTTTGTGAGAAGAAAAGGAAGGGAGATAGGATAATTTTTAATATTCATCTTATAGAGAAAATAACTTAAAATTTGGAACTGTGCCAAAAAATCTCCATGTAGACTGTGTATTGTTGCCTAATTAATAGTGAAAGGAACCATTACTGAAATAGTAAAATAATAATTAACTTGATAAAATAATAAATTTTTATTTATCTCAATAAATAAACTTGATAACTTAATAAAATAAAATATAATTAACTTGAAGGTTATACTGCAGTCACAAAAATATGTTTGTTTTTGATGCGTAGGTATTTCCTTACCTAAACTTTGGTGAAACTAAATAAATAAATTCATGAAAGAGAAATATCCATATAAAAAACAAATCTTCCTTGGGCAAGATGCAATCTTTCTGAAAATGGAAAGAATCACATTAGAAATTATAATATGGTCCTTTCATTCCAATCTTAAGCATGTTTGAAACACAAAAAAAATCCAATTTCTATAAAAATGTTCTCGGCTATTATTTGCATACAATTGCAATGTATATGTGAAATGTACAGAAAATGTTTAACTGCCAAGAGGGAAAATGGATATTCTAAATATATCCTGTTTATACATTCAACACATTATCAATTAGATGAATGAAATGCAGTTTACATATTTTAAAAGTTTTAGATAAGTAACCTACTCTATTACAATCAAGTTATTTTAGCAACTATAATGTAGTGTGGCTGGGGCTAAATCTATTACTTTTTCACAAGGCATTGCTACCTTATCTTGATATGAAAAGTTAAGTTAGTTCTTTTTAATGTCTATTAAACTTAATTAAAATAACTTCTATATTTATTGGTTAAATGCATTTTAATTTGTTCATATGTTTGGAGCCTAAACAAGTCACAATTAAAAAGGCAAATAGCCACTATCATTTTTAATTGAAATAAAAACATCATAGCTTACATTGTGTGCTGACTGCCTACACACAATATAAGCTATGATGTTTTTCTTTCAATTAATATAAAAACCTCATTTTTATTTGAAATAACAACATCATAACTTATACTGTGTGTCAGCTGCCTACACACAATATAAGCTATGATGTTTTTATTTCAATTAAAATGATAGGTCTAAAATAACACAATTAAATGAATAGCACATATAACAGCCACCTGGACGTCTTCACTTGCTGTTCCCAGGCACCTCAAAATTCATATAAGCCAGGTGCAAATTGTCTTTACCTCTAGTATTTTTTAGCTAGGTAATAAGGTGCCATCACTGGCCCCGAGGAAGGTAAGTAGAAATCACCCTCAAGTTCTTTCTTTTAGTTTTAACTTCTGTGCTCTAATCCACAATCAACACCAGTCTATTCTCTTTTTAATTTCTACCAACTTGCTTCCCTTTCCTGATCACCTCCGATCTTCCTGTAGATCAAGCTCTCACTAATATCTCTTTTGGAATATCAAAATAACCACTTCAATTATTCTTCATGCTGCAGCAAGAGTGATTTTTATAAATCCAGTCTTGTTACTGTTCTGCCTGCAAACCAACTAAGGGAACAAATATTCCCTTCCGTATGTGAGCTAAATCCCTCTTTCACTGAACTCTGGATACCTTGCCATCTCGGAACTTCACCCTCCTCCTTTTGTCAAATTAAAAATGTCTCTTGATTCCATATTCTCCTCTAAATACTCCTCTGCTTTTATTGTCTTCTCTGTTACAGAATATCCTTTTGAAATTTTCATCTGAACTCATTATTTCTGCATTTTATACTCATCACTCAGTTTCCACCTTTCTAACTGATTCATTGAAACTACTTTTGTCAAGATCAAAAACAACCTTTGTGTTACCAAATCCAATGATACTACTTTGATTTTCTCTTATTTGACATCTCAGGAACATTCTCCTTGCCTCATTTTCCTTTCTTAGATTTCTGTGTTATCAACTAGTTCTGACTTTTTGCCTTATTGACTACTCCTCAGTCTCTTTTACAAGTTATTTCCTGTAAAACTTTAAATTTAGACATATCCCATCATTGTTCCAACCCCCTCTTCTCTACTTATACTTATTCCTTTGGGACTTCATCTCGTACCATATCAAGTATCAAATGGCCAAATTTAAATCTATGGTAGTAATATTCTCTTGAACATGAGACATATACACAACCATGTCATCTCCAAAATAAGTAAGCATTATTTAAAATCTAACATATTCAAAACAAATTTTGCTTGTGTCTCCAATTTGTCCAGTTTCCCTTTTACAGTAGATATCACTGAGCATACAATTACTCATGCCCAAAACCCTTGATTTATCTTTTTCCCATCCCGTCCATAAACATATCTCCCTGAATTATTTCATTTCCTTCATTTTCACTTCATGACCTTGAAAGAGACAAGGGAAACACTGAAAAATGTGTTTTATTAAAATTTCAAATGTCTGCTCATTAAAATCACTAATTCGAAGGTAAAAAAGACACAGTACGGGAAATTTCAGCCACATGTATAAGTGACAAAGCAGTCATCTATCAAATGTAAGAAAATTTTATCAATGCACATAAGGGCAATGGCCATGTATAATGATATATTTATTGTTTTGTAGCCCAATTACAATATTATAGTATTATGGATAAAAAACTCTTAAATTACTTCCATGTCATTTAACCCTCAAAAAGTTTCAATGGACGTAGGTATCACTATTGTCTTATTTTCACAGATGGAAAAACTAAGTTTTAGTGAATAAGCAAATTTAAATTAAATAGATATTAATTTTGGAGTTTATATTTGTCTTTGATGTGGTCTAAAATTAGAATCCTTGCATCATGCTATTTGGCCTGCTTTTAGCTACTCTGAATATGCATGCCCCACAGAAGCAGGTAATCAAATGTCCTTTTCTTATTATTTTGGTTGCTTTGTACTTCCATATTTTGGCAGAGATATTGATCAACATTTTCACTGAGCAAATGAATAGATCAGTTTAGAAACTGGCAACTTGGGCTTAATTTTTAAAATAAAGTCAGCTTTTGATTTACTTCAGGATTGAACCTGGGGAATATGGCTTTTGTAAACAGTTGGGTTAAATTTCCCATTTATGTTGGGATGGCCTCCATATTGGAATCTGGTGTACTTTTTGATTCAATTTTTCAACATATTTTAAATCTATGGACTATCTATGAGGAAAAACTTAGGAAACTATTATGTTAAACTTTTCATATGTCTTGAACAAAATTCCCGGTAATTATAATGACTACAATTGACCTTCATGTGAGAGAAGTGACAGTAATGGAATAGACAACCCTACCACGCTGGGAGAGAATAATACTGCAAAAAAAGATATTTTGGACAAAATATAGGTAATACACAAATATGTAAATCAAATGAAATGCACATAGCAAGAGTGCCACTACTGTTACCTCCATGACACACAGACACTCACAGCCATATAAAACACTTTCCTCGTTTCTTTGTCCCTATCTCAGTGAAAGGCACCATTCAGTTTCCCAGAGCAAAAATATGGGCTTCATTCATTCTCACTTCCATACTCAGTTGGCCACTAAGTGCTCTACTGTCTTCCTGCTTAGCATTTCTCATAAATGTTTCCTTTCAGCATTCTGACTTTTTCCTGTTGTCCAGGGTTTAATTTTTTTCTTTCTGAACCCTTGCAATACTCCTAATTGGTCTCATAGAAAATCATAGATTTTCTCGTTTTCAAATTCACTCACCAAACTCTAGCCTCAGTGATCTGTCTAAAATGCTTATCTAGGCAGGTAGATTCAAAGACAATGAAGATAGCTAGCAGGGAGGGGCAAGATAAAATCCACCACAGAAATGTCCCTACAATATGTATGTAAGAAATAAGTTTAATTGCTGAGAATGAATAAAAAGGTAAGAATTTAAGGACTAATGACTGGGGAAAGGACTCAGAAAGTCTCTTGTACTGATTTTCCTAAAGAAAAATTTTCTATCATATTACTAGATCAAAAGAGAAAAAACATTGAAACATCTGTAATAAATTGCATGATTGCAGCATAATTCACTCAATAAATTGTGTGAATTAGGTTTTAATTCATGGTTCTGAAATAATTATTTTGCTAAATTTATATCTAAATGATCAGCTATTATATATTTGTCTCCTTTAAGTCTATTGCTATTGGATTTTTGGTCTTGGTGACATTGCAATACTTTGTAATAAAATTTTGCTACTTCTTTTAAACATTTTACTTTTAACTCGTTCACCTCATAGATATTGTAATTATAAGGAAAATGTGTGCTTATGCGCAGCATAATCTAATAAACAACTGATCTTCAAGAAAATGACTTGAAATATGTTTCTAAGACGTTAGTAATTTAATCTAATTATCTGGTAAATTTTTGGTAAAAACATTTAAGATTTTTTTAGATTAATAAAGTGTTACAAGAGATAAAAATTTTAAAATGCAGTAGTATCTCTCTGAAGTTTCCTAACGTTTTTAACTTTGACTGTACATTTTTACTTTCTAACATAACATCAATGCCCTAGCTACATCTTCTCATGATTTTCAGAATGCATATACATTAAACAGAATGCACAGGCCATTTAAAAGCATCTCTTTATATCTGAAAAGCAGTTGAAACAGTACCTGGTTTAAAATTTTCAGTGAAATGATTGAGTTGCCCAGTGTGTGGCTACAAAATGGCTTTTGGATTAGCTTAAATTTTATACAGACTGCCAACTTCACTCTTCCAATATGCTCCCCAGCCTTTCACCTCCGCAAATTTATTTTTGTGACCAAAGCACTTTTTCCTTTAAGGTAGATGTGGCTTCCTATTAATGCAATAATGCCTTTTAAAAATATCATGATTCAGTTTGGAGTATAAACATAATTCCTTTATTATAAGTAACTTGAGGGATAGGGTTGTGGTTTAGGTTAGAAGTATTAAGCATGTGATATCAAGCACCTGTGTTTCATGTAGTCAGCATTTGGCCTTTTCATTCTATACTGTAGCCCTCAGTGCATGACAGTTTGCAGAGAGACCTTTCCCTGGTCCCAACTCTGAACAATGTTCTTTTCTCTTATTGGCTATTTCTCCCTCAGGCCCAGTCAGAATGATTAAAAACATAGTTTAAGTTCTTTTTCAACTTTGGGGAGAAAATTAAAAAATCAAATCCCATATCCATTTTCATCCTTTTCTATGGCACTCAACATTAATGTGCATGCTGACCCAATTTTCAGTTATTATTATTATCACCTCTGATTCTGTCTCCCTGGTTTCTAGAGTCACAGTCATAGCATTGACTTCGTCCTTGATTTCACATAATCATTAGATTCAAGTGCCCTCCACATTCTAAAGGTCTTACTGTCTCAGTCGGGATGTCCTAATCACAAATTTTCAACATAATTTAATGCTGTCAACTTAACCCATAAATTAATTTATTGAAAATACAATGTCCATCCAAATTTAATCATCCAAGGCCTGAAGGTTGTGGTTCAATAACATAATCATGGTGGATGGATCCTCTTTTTTTCAATGATGTTGAAGAGGTAATATTCTTAGACACTGGGTTAAGAACCAAGAATTAAAGTATCCTATATACTCATTCAGAAATAATCTTCCAAATTGTAAGTAACTTTTTAGGGAGTATTTAGGCTTTTCCACTATGTACACCAGGATCTGGATGCTACTGAATAGGCAAGGTCAACAATCAGTGTATGTATATGTACTTCGTATGAACTTTGGTTTAAGATGTTTAAGAAATATCACATTATTTTAGTTTTTTCTAAGCACCCTCTTTAGCAAACATACAGAGACACACACAAATCCTGCTGAAATTATAAAAAAGTTTGACCCTGTTTATTTTAAGTAGTCCCCCTAACAATCCTAGAATCACGTTAACATCTCACTGGACCTCCATGGTCTTTCCCAAGCTCAAGGCTTTCTGCTGCTTTCGTACTATCTTTGTGAAATAAGAATATTTTCCAAGCCTAATATCTCAGTGGCTAAAATTAAATCTACTTATAAGCACAAAAGTATATTTCTCTTTAAGATATACCTCCCATATAAAGTATTGCTGAGGTTAAAATTGATATCCAAGTTGCTCTAAAACACATAGACCTGTTTTCATCTCCTAGTTCAAGAATTTTCTTCCTACTCATGTAGAAAATTCTTCCACACCTTCTCTATATCTTCCTGTAAACTATATCTTATGCAGTAGGCTTAGATTTTTGCAAAACCCAAACTAGGAAGTCTTGGAGTCTTTCTACCTAGCCAATTGTGAAAGATCAGTGAGTAATAATCTTGAGCACAAAAGTTAAAGGGACACCAAAAAAAATCATCTTAATATCAAGATCAGTAAGATTGTAATGCAGTCTTTTAAAAATTGAAATTAAAGCCAGAAAATGCATGATGAGCAAAGTATTTGATTCTTAAGTAAAAATAAGATCAATTTTACTCATTTTTTTATTTCACCACAGGCTCCAATATGGCTCAGAACAGTGCTGTTGACCATATATATTCCCTAAGTCAATTGCAATACTACACATGCTATTTATTTACACAGAAGAGAAAGGAAAGAAGAAACTGGATACATTAACCATCAAAACATTATCCAGCTTAATATGCTGGAGAAGCTGTTGACAGAATGATTTGTTGAGAACAGCAACCTAAACCCACATCTTTAGAACATAATTCTCCTGAAATTCCCTGTTGGGATGAACTGCATAAATATGATACTTATGGTTCAAACCTAGAGACAAGTTTAATGTCTCATACCCTTTGGAAGAGACTAGTGCTAGATGTCTTTGTTTATAATGCCACAGGTGGGCTGAGAACATCGTGGCTTTGAGATAGACTTGCTCTTGCAATACCACTGAAGCCTAGAAAGAAGCCAACAGTTCCCAAGTTTCCCAACTGTGTTTGTGGTGGAAAGAAGAGTCACCAAGCTGACTCGTGGATGTTTTGCTGAGCAGCAGAGGGAGAGTCACCTCACGCATCTGCCAGATTTTCTTCTTCATCCAGGGAGGCATTGTGAAGTTAACAATATAAGCTAAGGGATTGTCTCTTTCAAAAATAGTTTCAGAGAATAGAGGGGGCTCCACTCTTCTCACACCTCTATCAAGTTGTTCCCACTTTCCAAACTATTTGACATTGCTTCCTATATGTCATCAAGCAAACTAATAAATAAACAATGAAGGAACCTCCTTCCTACCTTATACCCTGTGAAAATGGCTGAATTTTCACTTTCTAAAACAATTCAGTGTTGGCTACTTACTCAGAATTTCTTTTTTTTAGATTGAGTTTGTTTTTTTTTTAATCATTGAGAAACTGAAGGTAGCTAAAATAACATAGTACATTGGAATTCAAAATGTGATTGAGAGACCAGAGGAATCAGTACTAACTATTAGAAATGCAGAATCTCAGACCCCATCCCATTCCTAACCAATCAGCAGTTGCATTTAACAAGAGATTCCAGTGATGTGTGTGCACATTAAAGTCTGAGAAATGCTGAAACAATGCAGACTGTTTTTTCTCTCCAGTTTATATTTATCTTACTCTGCACTCTCTAGTGTGTGCTTTGATGCCCAAATTTTGCCTTTAGTTTTTTATTAAAACTAGTATTTACTCCATTATTTTATTATTTACTCCATATATTTTATTGAATTTTTTCTAAGTAGAATATTTTCAAACATAGATTTTCAGCATTTAAGTCCTATTGAATGCTATCTCCTCACTCCACTACACCCTGCAAATTTCTTTTAGATAATTAGGACTAAGTCTGAGCCATTTCTTTTACTGGCCACTCTGAAATTTGCAAACTCTTCTTGGTATCATTAATTTTTCTATGGATGTTGTGATGGGGCAAAGTTTTTTGCTACCCCTGGCGGAAGTTCCTTTGAACATGGAGCACAAACTGATAAATAATCTTCTGCTGGGTAGAAACAGTAATGTGCTGAAGCCAGCTATGCCTACCCAAGACAGTCAATTGTATGCATAATTTCCCAATGCCATGTTCACTGACATCATTTTGGCAGCTAAAAAATTACCTATGGTAGGAGTATTTACAACCATTGGAAATACTACAAAATAGGGCACTTATAAGCCCATTTTTATTAATTTATTGTTTCCTTTGTATTATTGCCTGAAGTTAACTAAAAAGGTAGCACAGATTGTAAAATAGTCATCTCAAATAGCAGTATATGGTAGCTAGTTACAGGTAAAAATAGTATTTTAGGCATGACTAGTATGTTTTCTAAAGTTATATGATTAATAAATGCTTGAACAAGTAATGGCATATTTATCTTTGATTCTTTAAAACCTTTACTATTTCTGACATACTTCAAGATATGTCTTCAAAAGGCTTATAAGAACTTTGATGTTAGTGAGTATTGCTAACCTATTTATGGCATGGAGAAATACGTACCAAAGCAATATAAATAAAATAAGACCCAACATTTAAAGAATAATTGCTATGAGTCAGATACCATTTTTTTCTTTTCTTTTTTCCTTTTTTTTTTTTTTTTTTTTTTTTTTTGAGACAGAGTCTCATTCTATTGCCCCAGCTGGAGTGCAATGGCGTGATCAGATACCATTTTAAACATGTCATATGTATTAACTCATTTAATCCTCATGAAAACCCCCCAAAAAATACTTTCATTTTATAAATGAGGTAAAGAAAATTTGATCAAGCTCTGATAGTGTTCGGTTTGAGATTTGAACTCAGTTCATCTAACATTACTGACCTCAGAAATGAATCCTTGTTTAGAGAAATCACTGGGCCAAGCTCTACACAGTGGTAATTCAGACAACTGTGTATATTATGTGAATGAGGTTTCAAGAGATGCCTTATCATAATAAAGTTTTCATAGCTTTGGCTTCTAAAATGTAAATTTTAATAGCTATTTCACAATCTATTAGACTTCTTTGTCTTTTTTTCTATTTCAAAAACCAATGTTCTCCCAGTCTATAGCTCAACTACTCTCTTATCCCGTTTCATGTCATATGATGTTCTCTTAATTTTTTGATTTTGAAATATGAACATGCCCACTATTTACACAGTTATTACTAGTAATTTTAAAATTAAAACTTTAGTTATGTATAGTAAATCTATTGCAATTTTTTTCAGCCAAGTCACATCCAGTAAGACATCTGTCTTGAGAAATATAGAGATGCTTCAATATCAGGCCATATGTAGCCAGAAATATATTTTGATAAAAGAAAGGCAATATACATAAATTATCCCACAGGAGAACATTCCATTAAGTATAGACAGTTGACCTTCATTGCCTAAAAAGTGATTCATAATATAGGCTGTTTTTGCAAAATTAATTCTGGGAGAGGCAACAGTTGTCTAGATCTTGGCAGTGGTTTGGAGTCATTTTGTAATTGAGCATTAGATTTATGAAGTCAATAACATCAACAATGCATTCTGATTTTATCTTAATTGGATGCAATTAGAGCTAGGTGTGCTTTTCATAAAATGAAAGATCTTAAGCACAGTAATATCAAAGATGCCAGTGTTCTTTGCTTAGCTAAATGAAACAAATTGAACTTTTATATACTATTGGGATTTCCACATATTTATAGAGATAAATTTTATAAAATGGTTTATGTTTTCCTTTTTCCCTTCTCCAGAATTATAAGAGAAAAGATATATATTACCTGATAATTCAGTTTTTATTAATCCAATCATTTAACAATTATGTTTTGAGAACCACTAAGTGCCAAGCACCAGTTTAGACTCTGGAGATACCCTCGTGAACACAACAAACAAAGATGTAGTATCACTGACTTTCTAAACATTTGCGGAAGACTGAAAATAGAAATGTAAATTAACATATTTAACAAAATATAATACAGAATTACACTATATATAGTTTCTTCATATGTGTGTCTATATACACACTACTCCAGCTGTAGTCCCTGTTTCAGGAGCTCATGGTGACAAGAGTATAGGAAGAAATCAGAAATTGAACTGGAGAATGCTGTCGGGGAAACACATTTCAGTTAAAGTTGGGAGATAAAATAAATGCATTCTTGAAGATGAAAATAGAATTAAGATATTTGTTTATCAAGGAAGAAAGTTTCTATAAAAAAAGAAATGAACACATTCTAGAGTAGGATGAGCAAAGTATTATAGGATGAGGGACAACAAGCAAGAAAAAAGCACTTGAGTTTAAGAATACTGTGGAAGGAAAAGAGAGAGACCAAAGAGATGGATCACATAGATGTCTCAATCTAATTTTCTATCAGGGAGGCAACAGCATTTGCACTCAAAAGTAACTTTTCTAGGCTAGAATAGGGTCCAGGATCTCAACTAAGTCTCTGTAATTGTGGGACGCAGTTGAGTGTAATTTTAAAAGGAACACATTTAGATTCAAACTAGATTCAAACTACATTCTAGCTTTACCACTTACTTGGTATAAAAACTTGATTAAGTTGTTACATCTTTCTGTAAGTAGCATTTCATTGTTTGTAAATATGGCAATAATGGCACTTACTACTGGAAGCTGCTATGAAGATTAAATTGGTAACCCTTTTTATTTGCCTAGAAGAATGTCTGAAATATCATAATGGCTAAATTAGATTAGTTAATGATCTTTTCATTAATTATATTATTGTCCCTACTTATGTCTTTTAGTAGCATGAAGAAAGTAATTTATGCCACAGATAAAAAAGCTTACTCAACTACTAGGGAGAGGCTACCACAGCTAATGGTGCCCAGATTTTTTCTTGGGAACATGTTCAGGGAGAAGTGTTGCTGATATAATTTGTCAGAGTCTAACTGGGTCACAGTTACTAGTAGGCACCTCCCTGGTGAGCAGGTTTACCGTGGATTGAAAAGTTAACATCTATGGGTCATCCATGTTAATTCCTGCTTCTACCCTGTAGGAAGGTCTAGGTTAGACCTGGATCCTTAAGGTAGAATGCCCATTATGGTCTCCTCTCTCCATTCTGTCTTCTTTGTGCATGTAGCTTGATGCAAAGCTGGATGTAAGGCTATGTATCACAGGCCATTTTGCCCACAACTCCTTCTCTACCTCCACATTGTTTTCTAAAGTTCTGTTATGTTTATTTTTTCTCTTATGTGCATGAAGAAAGTGTGTTGAAATCATATGATTTAGATTTGGGCTCACAAGGAGGTGGATGCTGTATCTAGAAACTAGCCTGGGGCCACCTACTTCAATTTGGCCTAGTATTGCAGCTGGTTGTAGAAATATGACTTCCATTCTAATATTCTTCCCTTTGAGTTAAGCACACTCAGAAACTCTCTAGACATGTAAGATGCAGGCAGGGGTCTACTTACCATCCACAGGCTCTCGCTCACATCCTATAAGTGTGACATGTTTCTGTTTTTGGCTAACACTGTGTACTTTTAGGGGCCATTCCTATATTGGGTTTATGAGAAGATATGCAAATGGCTACAAATATATAAAAAATATGCAACGTCACTATCAGGGAAATAATTAAAACCACAATGAGATACCACCTTACTCCTGCATGAATGGCCATAATTAAAAAATTAAAAAAAAAGATATGGATTGAAAGGGATGTGGTGAAAATGGGACACTTTTACACTGCCAGTGGGAATATAAATGAATGCAACCACTATAAAAAACAGTATAGAGATTCCTTAAAGAACTTAAAGTAGATCTACCATTCAATCCGGCAGTCCCATTACTGGGTATCTACCCAAAGGAAAAGAAGTCATCGTATGAAAAAGACACATATACATACATGTTTATAGCAGCACAATTTGCAATTGCAAAAGTATGGAGCTAACCTAAATGCCCATCAACCAATGAGAGGATCAAGAAAATGTGGTATATTTATACGTTGGAATACTATTCAGCCATAACAAGAAACAAAATAATGGCATTCACAGTAACCTGGATGGAATTGGGGACTATTCTTCCAAGTGAAGTAACTCAGAAACGGAAAACCAAATATTGTATATTCTCACTTATAAGTGGGAGCTAAGCTGTGAGGATGCGAAGGCATAAGGATGACATAATGGACTTTGGAGACTCAGTGGGTAAGGGTGGAAGGGAGGTGAGGGATAAAAAAACTACATACTGGGTACAGTGTACACCACTTGAGTGACGAGTGCACCAAAATCTCAGAAATCACCACCAAAGAACCTATCCATGTAACCAAAAACCAGCTGTTTCCCAAAAACTATTGAAATAAGAAAAAAAGGAATCTCAATTTTGTTTTTGAGAGTGCCTCAGCTAAATGAGCAGATTACTGTTTAAGAATGAAAGTTTTCAAGAACATTTATGTGTGTAGAAATTTTAATTTATATACTCTTATTAAAATAATATAGTTTGAAATAAAGAAATCACTGCTTACCATTATTTAAGTTTCAAATATATTATTATTTGTGTTATATTGTAACATTAAAGCAAATAACTTATTAATTTCTTATTTTGTTAAAAAATAAAATTGTAAATGTTTTAATGTGAACATTTACTGAATAAAATTATGTGACAGTTTCATTTTGTTTTAATACAAAATTATAGTGTTATAATTCATTTATTTCTCAATATTATGATTTACTTACCACCTAATGTGTGACAGTTTTTTTAAAGGAAGCTAAATGTTTCTTTAAATCTGATTCGAGAAGTTAGATTTGTCTCTATTGAAGTTTTTCTTGACTTTCTATTGTCTATTCAAAGTTTTAAATACAAAAAACCCTTTTTATGCATCATCTTCAGAACTATTATTATCATTAGCAATTATATTTAAGACAATCTTCAGATCCCACTCTTTTCCATTTGTAACACAAATCCTACACACATCTTCCAAATCACCACCCTTGAGAGAATCTTCTGTAGCTCTGGCTGCCTCAAAGATATGCTGTTCCTTCCTCAGCATCACTTATGCTAACCAAACTATTAGCACCTGCTGAGCCTCCTCTCCATCAGTCATCAATCATCAGCAATCAGGCAGCTACTTGATAATTAGTTGAGAGAAGGAAAAACACTTCAAAGAACTAAAAATACTTTCCACAGTGACTTTGTGCATAAAATAATTATTTTTCCTCTATTAATTCACTTACATATTTCTGTGCAATAAAGACACTTAAAAATGTCACGCACATACATCAGTATAATTCAATGTATGATGCTTGTTTACTCACAGTTACTAGGTAAGCAATGCATGGCAGATTCAGACAACTCTAAAGTATTATACATGTATTTTTTCATTTTATACATGTCACGTCACATTTATCATCTTTCTTTATAAAATAAATTCAAGAAAAAAAGTGGCACATAGAACGTAGCTAAGAGCCATTTTGTGCTCCGTGCAAAGTAATGCACTAACATTGTTATGTGTATTGATTCATTGAATCCTCATAAACATCTTATGAAAAAGGTACTCCTTTATCTCCACTTTACAAATGAAATCTAAGCCAGGGGGAAAGAGTAAATGACTTGCCCTAGATCATACAACTGGTAAGTTGCATGGCTGAGATTTCAACTTAGACAGTCTGGTTCCAGATTCTATCATATGACCACGGGGGATAAGCAAAATATAAAAATCCAACAAATGATAGATACACACAGGCCAATCCATGGGAAGCACGGTGTGCCTGTTGTTTTGGTGAATATCCATGTAATTATGAATCTTATACATATTTTCCCAAAGCACCATATATGATGTCCTCTAATAATAAAATAACAATAAACGTAGTAGTAATTAATAAGTTCTTCACATGTTTCATCTCCTGTGACAGGTTTCAGGCCCCCAGCTCAGATTCCAGGGCTGTATTCTTAATTAGAACCCATTACTTACAGAACAGACAAATTCATTGCCTTTAAGTCACCAAATTTCAGAAATTGCCCAAAACTAGGTGAAACGTTTTAGTATGACTACTTAAAACATGTGCAACCTTTTATTTTTTGCTTAGGTCTGTTTTTATAATTCGTGAGTTTGCATCCCCCACCCCCGCATAAGTATCTTTACAGAATGCCAGAAATGTAGAGAAGCTTTTGGTATAAGAATCTTTATGCTTGACTTTTGTCCACATTTCACTTGCAATATTCATTGCCACATACATTATGCACATACAGATATATCAGCGCTGCATTTGGCAACTGTAGAATCCTATATTTCCATCTAGGGATGAAAATGTGTACATTTGTGTAAGGTGTGAATTAGAATAGATATAATGAAAATACATACTTCACTTCATTGGTTCCCATGACATTAAAAAAGTTGAGCATGTATTTTAAGTATCTACCCTAAGGTTTTAATAAACTTAACTTGCCCAGCAGCTGTGCAGGCATGTCTAATGTGACTATTTGTTTCTGCAACACAATGTCTTTCATACAGAGATGCAAATGGAAAGAAAGCAGAAGCTTCAAGAATATATAAATGCATTTCACATGCATATTTCATGACTTTTTCTACTTTCCTGCAGTTATAACTTAATTGAGTAATTATTCTATTCTTTGCAAATGAACAGACTTTTGTCATTTTCTTTTGTGACCAGTAATTACTCTTTTATTTATAAGTAAACGCAAAAATGCTGTGACAATAAAATAAAATAGTGAGGTGGGAGGAAAAAATGATGAGGAATAAACGATACCATATCATGCTGTTCCTTTTTTTATTTTTTAATCACCATTTATTTTTAGAAGAAGGGACTTTAAAAACATAAGTTCTTTAAATATTTAGAACTTAGAGTCTGAGTAAAAACCAGTTGCAATCGTAGAAGTTTGAAAGTGAATGTATTGATTATTCTTATATGATTTCCTGCGATAGGAATTATTATACTCTATCCTTTCATTTTTTGTCTGTAATTATACTGATCTAGATGTGGGTTCTTTCTTGCTATATTTAAATGCAGAGAAGATGTAAAATCAGATCTTAATGAAAGTTTTAAGGAAAAGAGGTGAAAAGGAAGAGATAAGAAGAAATAAAATGTAGGAGCGAAGAATATCTTGGAGTCCTGCAAGTCAAACACACCCCATTCTTTTTTTTATGGTGGAAACAAAAGCAGGGGGCAAAGGCTATTTGCATGCTTTAAAAATGGTGACACTATTCATAAAACAGTTCAATAATTTTCAAAAACACCACCAAATGTGTTATAGAACTAGCTCAGATAGTGATCCTACAAGAATAAGAGGTGAAAGAAAAATAAATTTGAGAAAGTAAAAAAAAGGGGAAGAACAACACACACGTGCAAAAAGTGAGTGCAAGAGACAATTAAGATTGGGGTAGAAATAAAGACATACAGACATTCCAACAGTAGAAATAAAATGTTTGTCTTGAAAGGACATATACACTTGAGTCTGGTGAGCCTCTCTTAATAAATGGTAGGCTGTAAATACGTGAAAGTGCTTGGCACAGAATATGTGAAGAATAGCATTATAAAATATCTTATTTAATTAACAGAAATTTATAACCAATATCTAAGGCCATATTTAGAGAAAATAATCAGAGAGAGCAAAAAGTAAAAATAATAAATAAGGACATTAAAAAAAGAAGATTTAGGCATATTTAAAAATGGAAAGGGAGGTATAAAATTAATTTTAACACTAGGGATACATTTTTCAAATAGCAGAAAATAGGTAGCATCTAACTTTATGGACTTTACTTCAGAAATTGCAAGTTATCCTGACTGAATTTTGGGAGTACACAATTTTGATCTTCGTAAAACACTGAGAGGTGAAACTCAAAGTCATTTTTAAGTTACTAAATATTCCCTTTCATTAAAGGAAATAGAATCCCTCAGAATAAAAGCAAAAGTCAGATTTGCAGGAGTTTGTCAGTAAGAGTGCCTGTCTTTACACCTGGAATCAAGAATAGTTGAACAGGGCTGGGCATGGTGGCTCACGCCTGTAATCCCAGCACTTTGGGAGCCTGAGACGGGTGGATCACTTGAGGCCGGGAGTTTGAAACCAGCCTGACCAATGTGGTGAAACCCCATATCCACAAAAAATACAAAAATTGGCCAGGTGTGGTGGCACTGCACTCCAGTTTGGGTGACAGAGTTCGTCTTAGAAAAAAAAAAAGGCTGAAACTTAATCTTTCTCCTCTTGTCAATGGAAAAATACTAACATTCTTTGCTCTCAGAGTTAGAAAGTGTGGTTGATGTTTTCTCTAAAAATGAAAAAAAAAATGTTTCCCAAGAGAGGCCTTCAAGCTATTTTTACCAAACATTCTCAAAGCTGTTTGCACAAATATAAACTGAGATCTCATATTTTAATTTTTGTCTTACAAATAGGACAAATTTAAGTGGCGAACTTAACTGACTTCATTATGTACAATTTATTTGCCTTCCATTTTAAACATTTAAAATTTTAGTCTTTTTTGAAATGTTTGATATTTTTTGAACTGATTGTAGTTCAAACATCACTTTTGGACTTTAGGCGAGAGACCTAAATTTAAACTTTTTTAAATAAGGAAAACTCTTGAGTTGTGTCATGTCCAGAATAGGTGATGAGTAAACTTGCTTTAATGATATCCACTTCAATACCATATAAATGTGGAAGTATAGGCATTTTGAGACAAAAAACACTACATTTAAATATGAGTGAACATATAAGACCTAATTAAGAATTGATTTTATTAAAGAAGGATTATTTATAGAGAGGCATTTTGATTTATCTATTTAGTTATGAGCTAAAGTTATGCTTTTATCAGAATCCTTATTTCAGATAGTATAAGAGTGTTGAAAGAAAGAGCAAATTAAGTATGTATCTGGATTATTTTTGTAAATAATGCATATATTAATTTTCCAAACTGAATTATGTGGATAACACATGTGATTTTCCTTCTCATTGTGCTTAGGTTTTTAAAAGTCCCTCAGTTGTTCTGTTTTTTGTTTGTTTGTTTTATGTTTCCTTCTGGCAGTAGCATCCAATCGTTAATTATTTCCTAAAAGATTCATTTTATTTACATGCGAGTTGACTGCATGCAAATATTCAAAATAGCGTCAACACTTGTAAGAAATATCTGCATAGTGCTTTTCTGCTTTTAAATTAATTTAATATACCTTATTTATTTGTACATCTCAACAAACCTATGAGATAGATATTAATAATCCTTTTTGTGTGTGTGAAACTTTTCATCAGAGTTACTTTAAGGGACTCTCCTCTTAGAAACTAAGTGGAGAGGTAACGATGTACCCTCACATATTGTGATTTTAATTCTGTTATTTCCTCTATACTATGCTGTTTTTATTTAGTGATGTCTATCATAGATTCCGACACCTTACTGCCTGGCTTCAAATTCTTCCCTCATTTATTAGCTGTTTGACATTCAGCAAGTTGATTCGTCTCTCTGAGTCTTAGTTTCCTCATCTGTAACATAGAAATGATTATAATAATATCTTCCTAAAGGACTGGCTATGTAATTTGTATGTTCCATTACAAAATGAAAATGCAAGTTCCCTTGTTCAACAAGCAGGAAAGGATTGCAGTTAAGGTACCAAAATATAAAGCGTTTTCCTTTTGCAGTTTCCCTTGACTCATCATGATGCTTTTATTTCTACGTATTTTTCATTGTATTTAATCAAAAAAATTAAAAATTAAATTATTAGCATAAATTATATCAGCTTGCACTGTACAACTCTAGTTTCAAATATTAATACAAGTATTTAATTTGCATATGGAATTGCTGTTGCTACACAATTCTTATTCCATAGTTCATAGATGCCTATGTATTTTACCCTTGCCCAAAGTGGGGACAATGCAAAAAACTAACTCAATCGTTTTTATTTTACTTCTTGATAAATATATATTCTATCAACACTCTTCTACCAACACTCTCTAACTATGACTTACTGATGACTAAGGAAGGATTAAAAGGAAAAGGAAAAAATGGCTCGACTTATTCCCTTTCTTGTTATGTCATCCTTTTAGCATAAATGGTTGGTTAATCCAGGGAAGTAATATGAGTAAGAAAGGATATGAAAAAATTCCTTGGTTGCTTATGTTTTTTGGAATGCCTTTGGCTTCCTTCTGTGTTTGAAGCAAGTTTTGGTTCCAAGAGAAAGCATGGCATTTCACAGTTCTCAGTTTCTCCACTTACTCATTAGCAGATGAAACATGCTTTGTTTGTACTTGCTTTGAGTCTCATTAAACTCCTATGCTGTATTAGTCCGCTGGAACTCTGTACTCTTGAGGGATTGTGAACATGTATGCAAATTAGGGGGCAGGGAAAAGAAGCATGATGCACCTTCTGTGCTCATGTGCATACTTTATTTTATTAGTCTGTTCTCAAGCTGCTAATGAAGACATACCTGAGACTGGGTAATTTATAAAGGAAAGATGTTTAGTGAACTCAGGGTTCTGCATGGCTGGAGAAGCTTACAATCATTGCGGAAGTTGAAGGAGGAGCAAGGTCACGTCTTACATGAGAGAAGGCAAGAGAGATTGTGCAGGGGAACTCTGTTTATAAAATCATCAGATCTTGTGAGACTAATTCACTACCACAAGAACAGCATAGGGGAAATTGCTCGCATGATTCAATTATCTTCATCTGGGCCTGCCCTTGACATGTGGGGATTATTACAATTCAAATTGATACTTGAGTGGGGACACAGCGAAACCATATCATTCATTATCCCATGAAACTTTACTTAAAAACACATGTTCAAAGATAACATTATTTAGAATGTGAAAATGGTGACAGCACTTCATTATATCAAGCACAGGCCTTTCTGAGCATGACACCTTGAGCAGCTGCACAGATATTACACACATAAAGCTGGCTTGTCTGCTTCATAGAGCTGTTGAAATAGTTTCATGAGTTAATACATGTGAATTATCTGGAAGAGGTCCTTCTTAGTCAACATTTAACAAATGTTGACCAATTATTAAGTAGGCAGAGGTAACCTCTTATCCCACTATATCAAGGATATCTTAGTAAAGTTAATGAATTTATGGTATCTGGAGGATCTAAGATGAGATGAGTGACCCCAGATTGCATACACAATAAAAAATAACAAGCCTTGTGGAAAAGGTACATAAGCTACTGAATCAAGAATCCAGCCAACGACTGGCCACACTTGTTTAGCGGCACTAAAAGAAAAGCAGAACCTCTTTTAAAAGATATTTTAGATTGAAGAGTCAAGCATGGTGGTTGACCTGACATGTTTGAGACAGAAAAGCCTACGTTCTTAAACTGTATAATCTTTGAGATAGCCTGTTATGATCTTGAAAATTGGTTTTATTGCCTGTAAAAGCCAATAATAATTACATATACCTAACATTTGTTTTGAGAATTAATTCAGGGCATTCATGTTAACCATTTATTCAGTTACTCTTTTTTTTTTTTTGAGACAGAGTCTCTCTGTGTAGCCCAGGCTGGAGTGCAGTGGCGCAATCTCGGCTAACTGCAAGCTCCGCCTCCCGGGTTCATGCCATTCTCCTGCCTCAGCCTCCGCAGAAGCTGGGATTACAGGCTCCCGCCACCACGCCCGGCTAACTTTTTGTATTTCTAGTAGAGACAGGGTTTCACCATGTTAGCCAGGACGGTCTCGATCTCCTGACCCCGTGATCCACCCGCCTCAGTCTCCCAAAGTGTTGGGATTACAGGTGTGAGCCACTGCGCCCGGCACAGTTACTCTTAATATTGTTATGATTATCATTATTATTTAAAGTCTGATAACAATTTAATTAGCACATTGTAAAAAACATTAGGAAGGAGGAGAGCAAATAAAAGTTAATTTAAAAAAATACAAGGATACACATGTCTAATTAAGTTAATCTCTGGTTGTTGAAAAAATTTACTAGCTATACAGAGTTAAGCAATAAATGCAACCTGTATTGTTCTCAAAATTCTAAGCCTAGTACATTCTCTTTCTGAACAGGGCTCCATGTGCCCACACTGTGGTGGTTTAATCCCTACAGTGCAGCCAATTCAGTGCCATTGTAATGCAAAACTTTATCCTGCTTTAAATAATTCACAAATGAAGTGATAAAAGAAAAAAGTAATTCATGCATCAGAGATTATATCAAGTTCTAGGAAAAGGACATAAACAATAAAACATGAAAACTTTGATTTCCCATATCTCTTTTGGAATACATATCACCTAATCTAAAGTTATTGACAATATTTTATCTGTTCCTCCAAAAGAGAGAGAAAATAGCACTAAATTGTTCAAATGATTTTTTTCTTTAATCTTACAATTCTTAGATTTTTGTGTGCAATGCCATGTTCTTATTTTCTTTTAATTCACCAGTGATATGTTTCCTCACTTCACACCTGAATCTGCCTTTTGGTATTCTATTCAGGGATCTTCCATTTGATCTGATTTCTTTCAACCTTTCACTCAATCAAGTAATGTTCTCATTTTGAAATGCTAATGTTCAACTTTATACAGCAGTTAGTTGAGAACCTGTGACAATTGCACTTAGCCTATGGTAAATATTTTAATTTTTTAAAGGTCCCTTGCCTTAGCATTTAATAAACTATCTCAGCTAATACAGAATAACACAATACTTTAAAATTATTGTATTTTTTATTTTATATTGTTCATGGGTTATTTAGAACTCCTTTCTCCCTAAATATCACAGTTTTATATAATCACATTAATATCTCCAAATAAGTACAAATTCAATAAAGCGATTGATAAACATTTTTAGTAGCTAATAGTTTAACAAATAATTTTTAAATTTATAAACCTATGGAATGTTGTTCTCTCTCTTTTTTTTTCTCAAGAAGTCAGAAAGTTTAGAGGACTTAATTGTTTTACTAGGCCATGAGAGAATTCAAAACATTTTAATAAAATTGCAGTACTCAACAGTCTATTAGAAGTTACATCGTTTACTTATTCAAGTCTTGTTTATAGATAATCTATGTATAAATGATGCAGAATATGGGTATTTAGTGGTGAACAAGTCAGAAATGTTTGTCTTTGTAGTGCTTCTTTAGAATTGACTTATTTGCTCATTTCATAATCATCCTTAAGTTATTTGAATTAATGCATTATAAAGTCTCTCATTTAACATTATCATTAACATATATGTCACCTGAACATGCATGCATAAATATTTTTTGAAAATTTATTTCAATCATAAAATATATTAGGGTAAAAATTTTTGTATCCAAGCCTGGTGTTATAACTCTTTGTTTTAGAATTTGGTACTGAAAAAGAGAGAAAAGAGAGAAAGAGAGAGAGAGAGAGAGAGAGAGAGGAACACTGTGCAATGCTTAATTCATTCAATTTAAAGTTTTTATTCCCAAATGCGTGACTGTGGTTATTTCACATTTTGTTATTAAAATATATTTCCTTTCAAGAAATGATGGTGATCTAGATAGTAGATTTGCATATATATATATAAATTATACACAGGGCTACTCCATTTAAAAACAATTTTTTCTTTCAATTCAAAGCAAATAGGCAGGAAAATAGTTACCTCATAAGAATGAAACAGTTTTGTGGGTTAAATGAGTTTGTAAATGGAATAATTAGCCACTATTTTACAGGTAAGTTTTATGTGATCATTGCCATAGACATAAAGTTAAGGACAAGTAATTTTGGAGCACTAACTCAAATTAACGTTCAATCTCTAATAGCTTAAGTCAGTTTTACAGATACATACACTCATGCCAACATTCTCTTAAAATAATTATAATTAGGCTACTAGAAGACCAGTCATATTTAATTAGGCATATGGCCCTGATGGCCTACTTGAGAATTTGAATACTGGCATGTTTGGTTGGCACAAAAAGATATGGGATAAAGCCAAGCCCTTTTCATACACATGAAAAGTGCCACATTCATGATCTCTACACTGTCTGTCAGATATTACTGAGATGGAAAATGGAGCAAGGTTAAATGTTTTCTCTCAAATTAAAAGAAGATTAAGCCAAACAAAAGGTCTAATTATCTCGTGAAACAACATAATTAGAACGATTTATGCAAAAGTACAAAATATTCTATTTCAAGCAACACATTAATGTATATGTCACAGTGGAAGTTCACCATGATGCCTACTTCATATACCGTAATTTAGAAATTTAAACAATCACTTAAAACCTATTTTCCCAGCCAGATATACTATATTGTTATATTTCCGTGATTTTAAGCACATCTTTCTGGCAGGTTTAGAGTGAGCAGGATAAAGAGTGACAAGGGACCTCACTCCAGAACCTGTTCATTATAAATATAAATTTAGTAAGCAAGTCATGTGACAGAATTTCTCATATCAATATTTTTTATTCTCAAATTCCTCTAACATTATCTTTCTATGCTTTTCTCCTGCTTCCAATGACTTTGATCAGATATCAGAATGTCTCAAATTTTTCTTTCTAAACCCATTTTTGCTATTTCTCCTTGCAAAATACCTTAGCCAATAGCAAACTGGCCTCAGTGTCGCTCCCATAACATAGCAACACTTTTCCCATTGGTGCTTCATTTTTTTCCTCCTAATTTCTCTTTCAGTTACCAGTTCAACAGGGCTGGAAGCAATGGAATATAGTGGCTAGAGTGAGACTTCTTGAATTTGAATCCTGGCCCTATTACTTACCAAATGGGTGGTATGCCAACATCTATCAAAGCCTCAGTATCTTTGTCTATAAATTATGGTATGAAAGCTACAGTGAGGAATACCTGAGATAATACAAAAACATCTTGCAAAGCAATGCCTGACACATAGTAAACATACAAAAGTTTAGCAATTATTATTGCCTATCGATATCCTGTTTATCCTCAAACCCCTAAGGGATACCAGAATACACCATCTCAAAATACGTCTCTGACACCAGGACTTTAGAGCTGAAGGCAATTAAAAAGAAACAGACGAAGGAAAGCTCTCTGCCTCCCTTTTATTTTCCTAAAAGTAGTACATAAATCTACATAAACAAAATATGTATCCCCCCACCCCTTTTCTACCATGGAGAACAGAAGTTAACTACTTAATACAACTTCAGACCCTTATGGGCCTGGAAATGGCAACAGAGGAATCTACTCTAACAAGCTTTACTAACTATCCTTTATCTGCTGGAATTTGTAGAGAAAGAAATTGTATTTTTATTTCCCACAGCCCTCATAAGTCATTAGTTGGAATGGACCCCTGTAACAAAAGACAGAATAAAAAGAGAAAACCAAACAGAAGTTTGTTAACATATGTATTTCAAATATACATGGAAGACACCTAGGGAATGCATAGTTCTCAAAGAGGTAGTTTCGAATTCCAGCTCAGATAACATCTTCAACAAGGAATAGTAAACATTTAGAGCGACAAGGCAATGGAAAAGGTCTTTGAATCTCTAAGGGTGGTACCTTGGGGGGAAGGCAAATCACTGGCAGATAAAGGCTAGTTCCTAAAGCTTGTTAATGTAGACACGCCAGTGCCATATCCAGGCCCCTGGTGCCACCTCCAGGCCCATAAACATTTAACGTTGTCTTAAGTGTTTAACCGTTATTCTCCACGGTAAGAAGTGGGGGGGTGGTATACCTTTTGTCGTTGTAAATTTATGTCCTGCTTTTAGATAAACAGATATAAAACAGAAGAATTTCTTTCATCCATTTCTTCTTAATTGCCTTCAGATCAACAGTTCTTATGCCAAAGAGGCACATTTTAGAGTGGCATATTTGGTCTCCTACAACCTCATGAACACTGCTTTCAACACCATCAACTTGATAATTCTTCCTATGCTCTGATATGCTATTCACCTTTAGTTCTTCTGTGGTTTCGATATTCATCTTTGTGTTATGATGATCTCTATGCCAGTATTTGCTCCTTAATAGATTTTAACTTTTTTAGGATACAGCTTGTGTCTTATTTCTTTATAAAATTTGAAGGTATATTTGCATGATAAATATTTGGTAAAATGAAAAATATAAGGTCCAAAATTTGCAATGATATATTTGCCACTGAAACTTGCAATGGCATATAACCTGCTATTATTTGCTCTGGTGCACATATGTAATTATTCTTTCTTTGGCCATATGGCAGAGGGGGCAAGTTTCTTGTTAATTGTTTCCCAGATGTTGTATCAAATGCATGCAAGATAGCAAGGTTACAAACTACTGATGGTTCTGCAAGTGAAAGAAATAAATCCTGTTAATATGGGGTCAATGGGAGAGTTATAGATAGTACCAATTATCCCATGATTGGGGCTGTTTACACATAAACTAGTTCTCCTCCTTCTGGGTACGGGGCAAGATTTCACATCTCACCCATTCTGAAGGTAAGCATTTCCAGGTGACCTATTGTGGTCAATGAAATATTAATCATGTGGCATGTCTTATGTCCTGATGAAGGTCTTAGGGGCTGACATGTACCTTACACCAGCTGCTGTCGTTAACCTGAGAGAAAGCCTCTGTGAGCCTGAGTCCCTGACTGATTACTGGGATCAAAATTCCTACCCCTGCCCTCATGCACCTGTATTAAAATATTATTTGAGAGAAGAATAAATCTTTTTTGATTAAGCCATTAACTTTTTTTCTACAGCATAACCTAACATCCTGATTAAACATTAACTTTCCTCAGATTTTAGGTACTTGGCACCGTAGGGAACGATACTGCCCCAGTAATATCACTGTATTAGTCCATTCTGATGCTGCTATGAAGAAATACCAGAGACTGAGTAATTTATTTTAAAAAAAAGAGGCTTAATTTACTCAAAGTTCCACATGACTGGGGAGGCCTCAGGAAACTTACAATCATGGCAGAAGGCCCCTGATAGTGTTTAGTTTCATGGGGTCTGCCCACAAAACCATTTTTCCCTCCTAGATTTCTGGGCCTCTGTGTCCCCATCCAAATCTCATCTTGAATTGTAGTTCTCATAATCCCAAGTGTAGTGAGATGGACCTGGTGGGAAGTACTTGAATCATGAAGGCAGGCTTTTCCCATGCTGTTCATGTAATGGTGAATAAGTCTCATGAAATCTGATGGCTTTATAAAGGGCGGTTCCCCTGCACATGCTCTCTTTTCTGCCACCAGGTAAGATGTAACTTTGCTCCTCCTTCACCTTCCACCATGACTGTGAGGCCTCCCCAGCCATTTGGAACTGTAAGTCCATTAAATCTCTTTTTAAAATAAATTACCCAGGCTCTGGTATTTCTTCATAGCGGTATGAAATGGACTAATACAGCAACTCTTCACAGGGTGTCAGGGGAGAGAATAAGTGCAAGCAAGGGAAATGCCAGACACTTAAAACCACCAGATCTTGTGAGACTCATTCATTATCATGAGAACAGCATGGGGGAAACCAATCCCTTGATTCAATGACCTCCACCTGATTTCTCTCTTTACACGTGGGGATTATGGGGATTGCGATTCAAGGTGAGATTTGGATGGGGACACAGTCAAACCATATCATTCTGCCCCAGGCTCCTCCCAAATCTTATTTCCTCACATTTCAAAATACAATCATAACCTTCCAACAGTTCTGCAAAGTCTTAATTCATTCCAGCGTTAACCCAAAAGTCCAAGTCCAAAGTCTCATCAGAGACAAGGCATGCCCCTTCCATTTATGAGCTTGTAAAATCAAAAGCAAGTTAATTACTTTCTAGATACAATGAGGGTACAGACATTGGGTAAACATGCCCATTCCAAATGTGAGAAATTTGACAAAACAAAGGGGCTGCAGGCCCCATGCAAGTCCAAAATACAGCGAGGAAGTCAAAACTTAAAGCTCCAAAATCATCTCCTTTGACTCCAGAGCTTACATCCAGGTCATGCTCATGCAAGAGGTGGGCTCCCAAATGGCCTTGGGCAGCTCTGCCCCTGTGGCTTTGCAGGGTACAGCCCCCGCTCTTGGCTGCTTTCATGGGCTGGCATTGAGTGAAGCTTTTCCAGGCACACAGTGCAAGCTGTCAGTGGACCTACCATTCTGCGGTCTGGAGGATGGTGGCCCTCTTCTCACCACTCCAGTAGGCAGTGCCTCAGTGGGAGCTCTGTGTGGGAGCTCCAATCTCACATTTCCCATTTGCATTGCCCTAGTAGAGTTTCTCCATGGGGCTCTACTCCTGCAGCAAACTTCTGCCTGGACAACCAGATGTGTCCTTACATCCTTTGAAAGCTAGACAGAGATTCCTAAACCTCAATTCTTGACTTCTGTGCACCCTCAAGCTCAACACCACATGTAAGCTGCCAAGGCTTGGGGCTTGCACCCTCTGAAGCAATGGCCAGAAATGTACCTTGACCCCTTTTAGCCACGACTGGAGCTGAAGCAGCTGGAACATAGGGCACCAAGTCCCAAGGCTGCACACAGTTGGGGGAACCTGGGTCTACCCATGAAACCATTTTTCTTTGCTAGAACTCTGACCTTCTGATGGAAGGGGCTGCCTTGAAAATATCTGACATGCCCTGGAGACGTTTTCCCCATTGTCTTGGTGATTAACATTTGGCTCCTCATTACTTATGCAAATTTCTGCAGCTGGCTTGAATTTCTCCCCAGAAAATAGTTTTTTCTTTTCTATTGCATCACCAGGTTGCAAATTTTCTGAACTTTTATGCTCTGCTGCTTCTTGAATGCTTAAATTTTCTCTGTCTGACACCCTAAATTATCCCTCTTAAATTCAAAGTTCCATAGATCTCTAG
Organism: Homo sapiens; assembly: GCF_000001405.40. NCBI lineage: Eukaryota > Metazoa > Chordata > Mammalia > Primates > Hominidae > Homo > Homo sapiens. Next base: position 130,191,958 of record NC_000004.12, read on the forward strand.
GGCAGGGACAAAATGTCACCAGTCTTTTTGCTAAAGCGTAGCAAGAATCACCTTTATTCCAGTGCCCAATAAGTTCCTCATCTCCATATAAGACCACCTCAGCCAGGATTTCATTGTTTATATCACTATCAGCATTTTGGTCAAAGCCATTCAACAAGTCTCTAGGAAGTTCCAAACTTTCCCAAATTTTTCTGTCTTTGGGCCCTCCAAGTCTCTAGGAAGTTCTTAACTTTCCCACAATTTGCTGTCTTCTTCTGAGCCCTCCAAACTGTTCCAGCCACTGCCTGTGGACTGCAGTTCCAGAAGTGCTTCCACATTTTCGGGTGTCCTTATAGCAGGGCCCCACTCCCTCAATACCAATTTACTGTATTAGACTGTTCTCTCATTGCTATGAAGAAATATCCAAGACTAGGTAATTCATAAAGAAAAGAGCTTTAATTGACTCATAGTTCAACATGGCTGGGGAGTCCTCAGGAAACTTACAATCATGGGGGAAGGTACCTCTTCACAGGACTGCAGGAGAGAATGAGTGCAAGCAAGGAAAATGCCAGACACATATAAAACTATCAGCTCTCATGAGACTCACTCATTATCATGAGAACAGCATGGGGGAAACTGCTCCCAGATTCAATTAACTCCACCTGGTTCCACCTTTGACAGAAGGGGATTATGGGAATTTACAATGCAAGGTGAGATTTGGGTGGGGACACAGAGCCAAACCATATCAATCCCTCTTACTGTTTTTAACACCACCAACATCAACAGCAGCTACTTTTAGCATGTGTTTTAGAGTACTTGCTGTGAGACAGATTAACTTGTTTAAGTTTTTCCCAATTTCTATGAGATAGATAACGATATAAACAGATATTGTTATCGTATTGAACACTTACTATTTGAATACTTACTATTTGAATGGGATTGTAATTACCCTCCTGAAATTAGGAGAACAGCTTGAAGAGAAAGGCAGAGGGTGCCCTGGCATGACTATCTAGAGATAGGAGTTGTACAAATTCTCTACTGAAAATCATTAGTCAGCATAACTTCGAACAAATTTTTTCAGGGATAAAGAACTGGAAACCTAGAACACAGATGGAATATAAACATTACTTTGCAACAATGAGAAGTATAATTCAAATTCAAAATAGGGGAAATTTTGTTTCTTTTTTTTTTTTTTTTTTTTTTGAGATGGTCCCACTCTGTTGCCCAGGCTGGAATGCAGTGGCACAATCACCTCCTGGGCTCAAGTAATTCTCTCACCTCAGTCTCCTGAGTAGCTGGGACTACAGGTGTGCTCTGCCATGCCTGGCTATTTTTATATATATATATATATATATATATATCTATTTGTGTGCGTGTGTGTGTGTGGAGATGAGGTTTCGCCATGTTGTGCAGGCTGGTCTTGAACTCCTGGGCACAGTTCAAGTAATCTGCCTGCCTTAGCCTTCCAAAATCCTGGGATTACAGGCATCAGCTACTGCAGCAGGCTACAATTTTATATTTTATAAGATTATAAAGTTATAAAATATGTGATGTCATCACAAACCAAGAGCAAATGTGAACAAATTTTTAGATCGTTATTGGCTTTTAAAATTTTCAGAACTTATTTTTATTGAAAATTGTTACACTATTGTGGAATAGATAGTTTATAAGTCTGAGAGTTCAAGTTTTGAGTTAATTCTTGGTTCTTCTCCAAGAGAGCTATGTAATATTGAGATCTTATTTTCTTTTCAAATAAGTTTCTTAATCGATCAAATATTATAAACGAACTTCATAATTTTGGGGTGAAGGGTAGAAAAAAATAAAATTGAACAAGAAAATTTAGTTTCATAACTGGTGCCTTTTTAAAACTCCTTCATGTATTTAATAATATTTATTAAGAGCCTCTTATTCTGTCTAGTCCCTCCCTATAATTTTCTCCAAGATGTTGTTAAATGAACTCTTCAGATCCATTCACACTCACTAGTGCTGCTTTTATTTTCTGCCAAGGTGGCTCTTATACTCTTTGGCAGGATCTCATAGCAAAGTGTAAATGAAGGTGGCCAGGTTTACTGTAAAAAGCATTCACCTGGTTACAATAATAGGCAGACATACGCTATATCAGACTGCAATAATTCATGTGAATTCAAGTCAGATAAAGAAGAGCATGTCTGTCTGTGTCTTAGACACATGTATACATACACACACACACACACACACAAACACACATCAAAACTCATGGATAAAAACATGTTGATTTTATCAACCCCCTCCTAAATTTTTATGACAATTTGAAAAAAATGACAACAAACATAAGAGTTGTTTTTATCAGAAGACTGCTTATTAATTTCCCTTTCTCTATGGGAGAGAACGATAATTGAAGCTACAGGCAATAGGTCAGATTAAAATAAAAAGTAATTTTTAATTTTTAACATTGTGAAAGAGATTTATAAAGGAAGTAAGGTACTCTATAATATCCTAGTCTTTGGACTTTCTGTATATTTAGTTTGTAATACTTAGCTATTACATGCTTGGATAGCTCCATATAAATACATATTTTTGGTAAATAGAAAAATCATATATATGTTTCAAGAATATATATAACACATATTCTTGAAATATATATTTTTGAAATAAATATATGATTTCAAAAATATATATAACATCACATATATCATTTATATATAATCTTATATATTATATATAACATCACATATATCATTTATATATAATCTTATATATTATATATAATTATATATTATATATGATTTATATATGTGAAACATGTTATATATTCTATATATTATATATGATTTATATATGTGATATATGTTAATTTCTGATATAAGTTATATATTCTTATATAACATATTTTCTTGAAATATATATATGTTATATATTCTTTGCAAAATCACAAAATGTCTGGTGTTATAAAATTAAATATTTTGACAATATGACATTGTCAACATGTACTTTAGCACTTGGAAGATATGGTTTATAAGTGAACTAATAATCCTTTAATCCTTTTAGCTCAGTGTGTTATATTTGCCATCTTTACATGAATGTTGAAACCCTGAAAAGGAAATTGGGTTGGGCATACAGGCAGAACTGGTAAAAGGAACCTGGTTACTTACAGCAAGTGGCCCAGCTACTTGCTCTTTGAACCTATAGCCCAAGCCCTTTCTCCTCCACCCAGAGACACGTGGCAGGCAGGGAGAACCAGAGAAGGAACACATCAACAGTAAGTATTCTGGTCCAAAAATCCTCTTTGACCCCATGGGCCTAAATCCTCTTTCTCTGTCTAGAGAAATTAGAGCAGCTGAGTAGCATTAGTAAGAAGATTCCAACACCCCTGCTTCACCACTAAGACACTTGGCACCCCAGACTGGGAAAACACTTTTCATCCTCTCTGGCAGTACCATCAGATATCCAGAAAGCCCCAGTTACACCAGGTAAACCAAGGAAACCTGAATAATATCTCAAAGACTCTGAAAATTAAACTACTATTGGAAACATATTTCACAAAATTAAATCAAAACGTGTGCTCAACCTAAATAGATGAATCATCTGCTAAAATATATTTGAATAAAATCCATAGGCTTCTAAAAGAAGGGATAAAGTGTCCAGCACACAATTTACAAATATGGATTAGAGTAAGAACCAAGAAAACCATGACTTGAATGAGAAAATACAATCAATTGAAAATAGCCCCAAGGTAAATCATAGGTGAAAGTGTCTGGAAAGGGCTTTAAATTAGTAATTTTAAAAATGTTTCCGTAATTAATTACAAATTATCTTGAAACAAATGAAAAAAGAGAATAATCTAAGCAAATGAATATAAATTATAAGAAAGAGTCAAATGAAGATAACAAAACTGAAAAATGCAATATCAAAAGTAAAAAACTTGCTAGATAAGCTCAATAGTAAATGACTGAGGACAGAATCAGCAAACTTAAGAATTCTACCAAACATTTAACAAAATAGAAGAAAAAGGAGGCTTTTCAACTTGTTTTATGAGGCCAATATTACCTTGACTCCACAACCTGATAAAGAGTACACACACACACACACACACTCATGTACACATACACAAACACAGAAAACTACAATCTGACATGTTTCATTAACTCAGATGCAAAAATCTTCAACAAACCATTAGCAAATCAAATCAAACAATGTATAAAAGGGCTTATATACCATGATCAAGTAGAACTTATTCCAGGTATTCATGTCTGAGTCAACATTTGAAAATGAGTCAATATAAGAAATAATCTCAATAAGCTAAACTGAATTATATGTTCATATCAGTTGACACAGAAAAAGAATCAGAGTAATTTTCAGCACAAATTTTCAATATAGGGGAATTAATACTCAACAAGACAAAGATCATCTACAAAAAAATGTATAGCTAACCTCATACAGAATGGTGAAAACTGAACCTTTGCCATCTAAGTTTATGAATAAGGCAAGCATGTCTGCCCTTATCATTCTTATTCTATATGGCACTGGAAGTCCTACCCATTGCAAAAAGTTAAAGAAACAAAACCCATGCAGATTGAAAAAGAAGTTTAAAAAATCCCACTATATTTGTAGATGACATGGTTGTCTTTGTAGAAAATTTCAAGAAATCTACAGAAACACTTCCATAAAATAATTGAGTTTAGCAAGACCTAAGGATACAAGACCGACACAAAAATTCAATTATATCACTATATGCTAACAATGAATATTCATGAACCAAAATAAAAATACAATACCATTTATAATGCCTCCAAATAACATGAAATACTTACACATATGGTTAAAATAGGTACAGTTATCTGTATGTTGAAAATTATAAAATGTTGATGAAATAAATAAAAGAAGACCAAAGAAATGGGAATTGTACTATGCTTATTGATTGAAAGACTGGATATAGTAAAGATGTCAATTCTCCCTACAATGATCTATAGGTTTAATGCAATTTCTATCAAAATCCCAGCAAATATATGTGTTTACATAGATAAGCACAGTCTATATAGAAATGTGTAGGTCATTAAAGAGCTGAAAGAATCTTGATCAGTAAAAATAAATTGGGAAGAAGTACTCTATCTGACATCAAAGCTTACTATGTAGCTACAATAATTAGGTGGTATAAGTGTGGTGTGTTATTGGTTGGGAGTTAGACACATAGATCATTAGAATAGAACAAAGAACCCAGAAATAGTCTTATACAAAGAGCTTAACTGATTTTTGACAGAATTGCAAAAGTAGTTCAATGCAAGAAAGATGGTCCTGTCAGCAGATACTGCTTGGAACAACTGGAAATCTATAGGCAAACAAGGACAACAGCAACAAAACCTAGAGCTAGTCTCACACCTTGTACAGAAATTAACTCAAAATGAATCACATGCCTTAATACAAAATGTAAAACCATAAAACTCTTGGGGGAAAAAAAAGGTGAAAAATCTAGATCTAGGGTTAAGCAAAGTGTTCTTAGACTTGATACTAAAGGCATAATGTATAAAAGGAAAAATTATAAATTGAATCTTACAAAATTGCAATCTCACACCTGTAATCCCAGCACTTTGGGAGGCTGATACGGGCAGACCACCTGAGGTCAGGAGTTCGAGTCCAGACTGACAAACATGGAGAAACCCTGTCTCTACTAAAAATACAAAATTAGCTGGGTGTGGTGGCACATGCCTGTAATCCCAGCCACTCGGGAGGCTGAGGCAGGAGAATCGTGTGAACCCGGGAGGCAGAGATTGTGGTGAGTCGAGATTGTGCCATTGCACTCCAGCCTGGGCAACAAGAGCAAAACTACAGCTCCAAAAAAAAAAAAAAAAGTAACAATCTTATGCTCTGTAAAAGTGCATGAGAACATAGTGAATAGTCAAGCTACAGATTGAGAGTAAATATTTGCACAGCTGCTACTGGACAAAAGACTAGTATCTAGAATATATAAGAACTATCAAAATTCAACCAAAATAACCTATAGAAAATGGGCAAATAAAATAGAGACATTTCACAGAAGAGGATATACATATAGACAATAAGCACATAAAGAAAAGTTCAACATCAATAGATATCAGGGAAGTGCAAATGAAGACCACAATAAAATATAGCTCTACAACTAGCTGAACAACTTAAATAATAAACAGTGACAGCATCAAATGCTGGCAAGGATTTGAAGAAACTGAATCACTTATGCCTTGCTGGTAGAATGAAAAATGAGACAGCCACTCTAGAAAAATTTGATATTTTTGTATAAAACTAAATATGCAGTGACCATATGGCATAGGAATTGCATTCTTGGTCATTTATCCCAGCAAAATGAAAACTTATGTTCACTCAAAACCTGTACATAAATGTTAACAGCACTATTTGTAATATTAGTTTTATCTGTAATAGCCAAAAATGAGAATCAACCCAGATGTCCTTCAATGTCCACAGTTGATGTCAAAACATAACTGTGGTACCTGCATACCACGGAATACTACATAGCAACAAAAACTGGCCTATTGCTACATGCAATAACTTGAAGGAATATTCAATTATTCTGAATGAATATAGTCAATACCTAACACATATGTGCCATATGACTCCATTTATATTACATTGTTTTAAATGACACAATTTTATAAATAGAAGAGTGTTAGTTGCCAGTGGTTAGGTAGGAGGTGGGTTGGGAAGGAAGAAAGAATGGTGCAACATGAGAGATCCTTGTGGTGATGGAACTGTTCAGTATATTGACTGTGGTCATATACACATGAACTTACACATATAAAAAAATGTATCAAACTAAACACACACACACACACTCAAGAACAAGTAAAATGAGAAATCTGAGTGAATTGATGGATTGTATCAATGTTAATGTTGTGCTGGTTATATAACATTATAACTTTGCAAAATTTTACTATTGGCTGAAACATAGAATCTCTCTGCACTGCTTTTCACAACTGCATGTGAAATTATAATTATCTCAATAAAAAATTCAATTTAAAAAATTCAAAGCAAGTTAATGACTCGAAAGTTTGTATTTTAAAGTGTTTTCAAACTCAAATATTAATTCTTAACCTTTTCCTATCAAGATTATCTCCAGAATATGGCAGTATATTATATTTTACTATGATTTACATAACATAAATGTTAGAAATACTTTAAAATTTATCTTAAGGATAATTCTTATAGTAAACTATAGATTATAATTATTAATATTTTTCTGCATTCTGTGAGTTCTCTGATATGAATTAATCCAAACTTGTTATGAAATTTTACTTTGCTGATTTCAAGAAGGAACACAGCATGTTTACAGATTAGTGCTAAATGCAATTATCAATGGAAATATATGAAGTCAATTGATCTTTCATACATACAAATGAGAATGAAAGAGAGAGAGAGAAATCATATTGGAGAAAATCAAAACGTGATTTTCCTTAATTTTACCTCCTACAAAATGGGATTCAGGAAATCCTAGACTTTTTATATAATTAGCATTTTTTTTGGTAATTTTTTATTTGAAACATTTGAAGTACCACTTACAACTAATAACTACTGAATGATATTGTGTAATGACCTAGGAAAGAATCTGTAAGCTGAATTTACCAATAATATACAGCACTAATACAACTACTCTATAAATGTGAACTACTGGTAAGAATATACAGTAAAATACACACACACATTCACACACAAACAAATGAACATATGCATATAAATGTTTTTGTTTCTTTGCCAAGTTATTTAAATGTTCATTCTAAATTTTCAGCTGCTTAATAGAGGATTTATAGATAGATGTTGCTCTGGCTTCTGCAGTCATGTCATTTATATATTCATTTCTCTCTGTTTAATCTTTGAACATAATCAATTTTGTTTTTCTACTCATAGCTCATACATAGTCTTTCGCTTTGTGTAGTGATAAAATCAAATCTTATATTCTTTCTAAGGTCTTAATCACATTCACATAGCTCACAGCTGAGTGATCAGAATATACTGAAACAAAAAAAAAAAACATTTGTTGCAAAATGCTGCAATTATCTGAGTATTTGTTCTGCCTACAGAGTTGCTTTGATAAACTCTTCTGCAGAGCATTTGAACACACTTATTTTCTACTGGAGTGCTGCATTCGGCTATAGGGGACCATAACCTAAAATGAAGATTCAAACATATCAAAATGGTAACATTAAAGTAAACCAGTCCTGTATCATGAAAAGAGTTGAAAACACTGTTTACCCAGTTTCCATGGCATAATCCAGGTTTATACCTGGTATCCTGGCATAATTTCTAATGCTAATCCTTTTACTCACAAAAGTGTCTCAATTTTGGCAGCAAATTTTATGGCAACCTTACTTATGAGGCACATGATACATGCCTTTAGTCGCTTGAAAGACTGTCATATGGAGGAGGCATAAATATAAATTTGCATGAGATAAGGATAGAAATAGCTCAATGAGTAGAAGCTTTTAAGAACACACCTTTTTGGATCAGTATAGAAAGGACTGTTTAAAATTGGGAGATAACCTCTCTTCAAATGAGGTGACACTACTGTCATTGGAGGTATTTAACTATAGATGAAAGACAACTTGTCAGATTTTGGCAAGGGAATTTAAGCATCAGATGGATGATTGGATTAAAGGATATTTAAGTTTCCTTTCAATATAATAGTTTGTAAATAACATATATAAGAAAACAATACAAATAATAGTTCTATTACATAATTTGCCTTTGTATATTAACATTTAATTATTTTTCCCCTAAATTCATGATAGTATCATTTTCCACTCCTCCCCTACTTTCTTAATGAAGAAACTGAAGTTTAGTGCGGTTAACTGACTTTTTCAAAGTCATTATAATTTTGTAGCAATAGTTGTATTTACATCCTGGCATTCTGGTTCACATAACCATGCAATTGATCATGTCTATCATCATTAACATGATTGAAATAGTAGGATACACATTTATAATTTGATACTCTTTATTGAGGGCTCACTATATCCATGTTCTCTGGTAAACACTTTTCATGTGTTCTTTTTATCAGAATTCTGTGTGGTATATGCCAGGTGTGCCTGTAATGCCAGCGCTTTGGGAGGCTGAGGCAGGCAGATCCCTTGAGCTCAGGAGGTAGACACCAGCCTGGCAACATGGTGAAACTCTATCTCTACAAAAAATACAAAAATTAGCCAGGTGTGGTGGTGCACACTTGCCTGAGCTACTTGAGAGACTGAGGTAAGAGGATGGCTTCAGGGCACGAGGCAGAGATTGCAGTGAGCCTGAGATCTGGCCACTACACTCCACCTTGGCCCATAGACACAGACCTTGTCTCAAAAAAAAGAAAGAAAGAAAAGAAAGAGAGAGAGAGAGAGAGAGAGAGAAGAAAAGAAGAGAAAGGAAGGAAAGGAAAGGAAGGAAAAAGAAGGGAAGGGAAGGGAAGGGAAGGGAAGGGAAGGGAAGGGAAGGGAAGGGAAGGGAAGGGAAGGGAAGGCAAGGCCAGGCCCAATGTGGTAATAGTCAGGACTCTCCTACTCAGATAAGGAAATATAATTCAATCGTGTTTAGAATACCGATGGCAACAGAGGGCAGTCCAGAAGAGCTGCTGACATCATGCTGGGTGCAGTGGGGAGGCGCAGGCATGGTGGCAGGAGCAGCTGCTGGATCAGCAATGGCAGCAGTGGGTCCCCTGTGCCCTGCTTCCCTGAGGCAGCCAACTGTGCTGTTGTCATCCTTGTGTGGCCAGGTGAGACCTTTTGCCAGGCCTGGAACTTGTGCCGCTCTGGAGCCTAACCCTGCATCACTTCTCTTGCCCACCACTGCTGCAGGGAGGGCACAGGGCGTAGGTGGAGCTGGGCCCAGAGTGCTGCCAAGCTTCAGGGACCCAGCAGGAGGCAGGGACAAGTGAGATCCCCCGTGAAGCCCACTGCCCTGGGGGCTGCTGTGATGGGGCTGGCCAAGCCTACATCTGGCAGGGGAGCAGTGTGGTCAGGAACAGAGGGGCAGGCAGAGAGGGGACCAGCAAAGACCTGGAGCCCCCGCCCCAGGCTGTAAGGACATGGGCATCTCTGCACTCTGCACCCTTGGTGTCTGGGAAGGCCTTTCCTTCCCCTGCAGGCTTATGGGTGTCTGCTTCCACTGCCTGGCCTTTCCCCACTACTGATGCCCTCTCCAGTCTCAGAGTAGGGTTGGCACCAAGCCCAGGTACTGTCACAGCCCCGGTAGGTGTGGTCACGCTTGAGACAGTGTTGATGCAGCAGCCCCCTGCTGCTTCAGCCTCTTGCCGAATTTGGGTGCCAATGAGCATGAGGGGAAGCCAAGTGGAGGCTGAGGGCTGCTCCGTGTTGGCCTGCAGTTGTTCCTTGGTGCCAGCAGCCTGGGTGCCACAGGGATGACAGTAGACAGACAGGCTCATAGGCAGAAGGGGGTGGGGCAGATCCCTGGTGAGGCAGGATCTTCAGGCCAGGCACGGTCTGAAGGTTGCCAACCAGGCTGCCAGTCCATGGACAGAAGTGTGAACTTGTGGTGCCTTTCCTGGCCCACTCATAGCTCTCCTTGGACCAGTCAGTGCACACTTCCTCTCCTCCTCTGAGGCTCATAAAATTGTGTCCCATGTTGGGTGCCAAAATATGTCTGGAATTTATTCCTTCCAGTGGGTTCTTGGTCTCACCGACTTCAAGAATTAAACCACAGACCCTCGCAGTGAGTGTTACAGCTCTTAAAATGGTATCTGGAGTTTGTTCCTTCAAATGTTCAGATGTGTCTAGAATTTCTTACTTCCAATGGGTTTCTGGTCTCGGTAACTTCAAGAGTAATGCTGCAGACCTTCACAGCCAGTGTTACAGCTCTTAAAGGTGGCACGTCTGGAGATGTTTGTTCCTCCCAGTGGGTTTGCGGTCTTGCTGACTTCAGGAATGAAGCTGTAGACCCTCGTTGTGAGTGTTACACCTCATAAAGGTAATACAGACCCAAACAGTCAGCAGCAGTGTGAAGAGCAAAAGAACAAAGCTCCCACAGAGTGGAAGACGATCTGAGCAAGTCGCCTCTGTTGGCTGGAGGGCGGGGGTGGCCAGCTTTTATTCCCTTATTTGGCCCCACCCACGTCCTGCTGATTGGTCCATTTTGCAGAGCTCTGATTGGTCCATTTTACAGAGTGCTGATTGGCCCATTTTACAGAGTGCTGATTGGTGTGTTTTTACAGAGTGCTGATTGGTGCATTTACAATCCTTTAGCTAGACACAAAAGTTCTCCAAGTACCCACCCAACCCAGAAGCCCAGCTGGTTTCACCTCCCAAAAGGTCTGGACTCAGCCAGAGCTGAGCAGATGACAGTGCAACCAGCTGCAGAGAGGCACTACCATCTCTCTATGCTGGGAGCTAAACACTTGACGGGACACCCTAGCTGCAGAAAGGAGCTACCTCTGTGGGTCTCCTCTGAGCTGTTCTGTCACTCAATAAAGCTCCTCTTCATCTTGCTCACCTTTCACTTATCTGCCTACCTCATTCTTCCTGGTTATAGGATAATAACTGGGGATCTGATGAATAGGGAGGTAAAAGAGCTATATAACACAACCAAGGCTGAAACATACCCATTGCTCACCACATTGTGGCTGAAGAGAAAGAGAGAAGAGCTTTGGCCCTTTGGGGAACCCAGTTCTGGGAGCTCCTGGAGCCAGGGCTGTGACTCCTTCTTTAGGGCCCTGCAGTTCCTGGCATTTCCAAGCTTCTGGGCACCACCATTGTCCCCAGTGCCAGCTGTGGAAGTTGCTTGCTGTGTGCCTGGGACAGCCACAGCCTCTCAAAGAGTGGCTGCCCATGCTGGCACCTGGAACTGCCTGTCCTGCTGCAGCAGCCAGCGTGCCTGACTGTGTCAGTGGCTGGACCCCATGCTCACTCACACACACTCGCAGCTCCACAACTGGCTCATCCTTGGAGAGTGTGGGATCCAGGCTGATAGCATGAGCTGAGCACAGCCTGCCAGGCCAAGTGGGTGAAACGAGCCCACCAGGCCTGAGCAAAACTTGAGCAAAGAGGCCACCAGCCACAGGGGTTTCTGGCCAGAAAACTGACACCCCAAGGATCCTGTAACAACATTAGGCCATGTAGCTCACAATAGAGAGTATGTGAAGCCTTAATGCTGGCCTTGAAAGGGGTAGATCCAAATGCTTTAACAAAATAACTTCAAATCTATGTTGTTTTTCTCATAGCTTGACTCCATTTTACTCTGTATTGGCTTAATTCTTAGGCAGGCTTCCTCCATGTACAGCAGAATACCTCTGACAATTCTAGGTTTATTTCTCTCTCACAGCAAACAGTATCGGAAAAGTACACAGACTGCCCTGCTGTGGGTTAGCATTTACTCCTAGACAGTAGCTGTGTACATATATGTGGAATAATCTGACTGGCCTAGTCACATGCTCAACTCAAATGTGCCCTCGACAAGTCCACTAGAATCCCATGGATGAAATTTCTAAAAGAAAATTTTAAATGCCATTATCAGAACTGGAAGATATATCAGATTAGACAAAAAACATGCAGTTGACCCTTAGCAGGGGTTTGAATGACACAAATCCACTTATGCCTGGACTTTATTTCAACTATATGCAGATAGAAATTACAGTATTTGTGGGATTCAAAACTCGTTTATATGGAGTGCTGATTTTTAATATACAAGGGTTCTGTAGGGCCAATTGCAGGATTTGAGTATGTGCAGATTTTGGTATATGCGGTGGTCCTGGAACCAATCACACGAGTATAACAAGAGATAACTGTATTATATAATCATTAGATGGAGAAATAATGACCACACCTGTTGTATTTGGTCCTAAGTCTGTCCAATATAAATAACTAGTTAATGGCAATAATGAGTTTCAAACCCAGGATTTCATAGATTTTGCAAATCCTATCCCACCTTGAAGCTGCTATGAAATGTTTATTAACAGCAAGATAGCATTTTTAATAAGCTTTATTTAATTTGCAAGCAATTCTTCTATATTTCCTATTTTTATAAAATTATTATGTTAATGGAAGTAAAACAATATATATTCAAATAACTTAAATGGATAATTCACTTGCCTAAATCTCTAGATCTAGAAATGAGGGAATAGGATACCTCAGATTAAGAAAAAAAGCAAAGCAGAAAGAATACACAGCAGCAACAATAAAAGTAAGGCTGTTTTGAGTAAATATTGGTTTATGTTTTGAAGATGGAAGTAGTTATAATTGGCCAAATAATTGTTCATTAGTCAATTGTTTGTTATATTAGCAGTTTAGAAGCATACATTCTTCTCAAATTGCATACTGATTCAAGTTCTCTTGTTCACTAGTATTTTGAACAAATATATATATATTCATTTATATATATATATATTTGTTGAGTATAATTCAACAAATTTTTTCATTTATATCAAAAAATTTTTTTATTTCTTATTTTGAAAATCTTTCTTTGGAAATGATTTATTATTTCTTTAATAAAATATTGACTCAAATGGAATATGGGGAGCTTCTGGGGCTGAAATGCAATTAAATCCCATCTAAAGGAATTTAATTGCTTCTTTCCTTTATAAGGGAGATAATTACTTGTCCTATTTCTAAAGCTGTTCTGTTAAGTCTAGTGAAGGAAAATTAAGATTTTAACTTGAAGGCAGAAAATGTTTCGTGTGTGTGTGTGTACACATATATACATATAATGTTATATAAAGAGTTTTGAGGTTAATATTGCAAGGAATGGACAACAGACACCATGATTTAATTTCCAACATAAACACCTGAGGTTGAAAATAATCCTTGCCTGACTGTCCTTGCCAAAAAGGGGAGTAAATTAATTGATAAAGAAAAATGATGAAAAACTTGAAGAGTCAAAGAAGCAAAAGCACAATGACATACTAAAGTTAAAACGAAAACTTTACTGGAAATCTAAAGTTACTCACTGTTCAACGTATATTACCTCAATTTAGTTGACTTCCAAGTGACTTTCAGTGAAATTCTTGGAACTAATAGATCTATTTATCTTCTTTATAGATAAAATGCTTTGATATAAATGTAGATTGAGTTATTATTTCTGGACTCATATGTATCTGAAAAAAAGCTTGAACTGGTAAATCTTTCAAAACAAATAATTTGATTCAAATACCATAGACTAATCAAGAAAGACATGTATTTTCTCATATAATTTAATTAATTTTTTGTCAGGTCACCTAATTTGCATGAGAACTAAACACTTTTTTCTGCCACTCTGGAAACATATATTCTAGCATTCTAATAAGTTTTATGTATTTTCTATTTTTTATGCTTACCTTACTCCAGTGTGATTACACAGTGTGTGGCTCACACAGTTACTACATAACACCCAGACTGCCTCTATCTCCCTGATTTTGGAATTCTAGTTCTTGTGTGTAGTATGTGACACTTCTCTTTCAAAACAATGTGGAGAATCTTGAGTGCATTTCAAAAGAGTTTGTGTCAGTGGGAATCAGTTAGAGGCACAAATTCTAACACATAAGGCTAAAAACAAACAAACATGAGGAAGGGAGTTGAGTGGTAAATAAATCTGAAGTTTTTGAGGTTGCTTTACTTAGAAAAGAAAAAGTGCATAGTGATTCTTTGCAACATCTCCATTTGGGTTTCTAATGCCTAGCAACTTTGGTTATGAAGGTTTGATTTGATATATTCACTCATCTTCATTAAATTATCTTAGTAGATGATCTTGCATCCAACTGTGTACTGATGTTTTTCTTTCTGTAGCTTACCAGAAGATGCATCAGTCTTTGTGAGAGATAACACCTCTACCTGTGCTCTTACACCCATTATCAGCTGCTTCTTCCTAAAAGTAACACTTCATCTTCCATCAAGCACTATTTTATTTTATTTTATTATTTTTATTATAGTTTAAGTTCTAGGGTACATGTGCACAACGTGCAGGTTTGTTACATATGTATACATGTGTCACGTTGGTGTGCTGCATCCATTAACTCATCATTTACATCAGACATTCCTCTTAATGCTATCCCTCTCCCCTCCCTCCTCTCCCCTCCCCCCACCCTAAGACAGGCCCAAGTGTGTGATGATACCCGCCCTGTGTCCAAGTGTTTTCATTGTTCAATGCCCACCTATGAGTGAGAACATTCGGTGTTTGATTTTCTGTCCTTGTGATAGTTTGCTCCGAATGATGGTTTCCAGCTTCATCCATGTCCCTACAAAGGACATGAACTCATCTTTTTTTATGGCTGCATAGTATTCCATGATGTATATGTGCCACATTTGCTTAATCTAGTCTATCATTGATGGACATTTGGGTTGGTTCCAAGTCTTTGCTATTGTGAATAGTGCCACAAATAAACATACCTATGCATGTGTCTTTATAGTAGCATGATTTGTAATCCTTTGAGTATATATCCATTAATGGGATCACTGGGTCAAATGGCAATTCTAGTTCTAGATCACTGAGGAATTGCCACACTGTCTTCCACAATGGTTGAACTAGTTTACACTGCAACCAACAGTGTAAAAGCATTCCTATTTCTCCCCATCCTCTCCAGCACCTGTTGTTTCCTCACTTTTTAATGATCACCATTCTAACTGATGTAAGATGGTATCTCATTGTGGTTTTAATTTGCATTTCTCTGATGACCAGTGATGATGAGCATATTTTCATGTGTCTGTTGGCCACATAAATGTCTTCTTTTAAGAAGTGTCTGTTCATATCCTTCGCCCACTTTTTGATGGGGTTGATTTTTTCTTGTAAATGTAAATTTGTTTAAGTTCTTTGTAGATACTGGATATCTTTGCCAAATGGGTGGATTGCAAAAATTTTCTCCCATTCTGTAGTTGTCTCTTCACTCTGATGGTAGTTTCTTTTGCTGTGCAGAAGCTCTTTAGTTTAATTAGACCCCATTTATCTATGTTGGCTTTTGTTGCCATTGCTTTTGGTGTTTTAGTCATGAAGTCCTTGCCCATGCCTATGTCCTGAATGGTATTGCCTAGGTTTTCTTCTAGAGTTTTTATGGTTTTAGGTCTAACATGTAAGTCTTTAATCCATCTTGAATTAATTTTTGTGTAAGGTGTAAGGAAGGGATGCAGTTTCAGCTTTCTACATATATCTAGTCAGTTTTCCCATTTATTAAATTGGGAACCCTTTCCCCATTTCTTGTTTTTGTCAGTTTTGTCAAAGATCAGATGGTTGTAGATGTGTGATGTTATTTCTGAGACCTCTGTTCTGTTCCATTGGTCTATATCTCTGTTTTGGTACCAGTACCACGCTGTTTTCTCATCAAGGTCTATTTTAATCTTGAATTTTTATTTGAAATGGTGTGTCTTTTCCAAACACATTTATCTTATATGAAATGCCTTAAATGCATCCACATTATTTTTCCAACTTAACCATAACATTCTAGTTTTTTTTCTTGCACTTTGCACAAAACGACCAAACTTTCTTTTTCAAAGACAACATACGCAGGGGTATTCATTACTCCACCAAAATAGATCTGATATTTTGATACCCACAATTCTCCATCTGTATGCCAGATGCTTAAAGCCACGTGGCACTGCTCATATTTTAAATAAATAAATGTGAAATATTCAAGATGGGTAAAGGGCAGTGTTAATGTTTTACATGTGTGCCACCATTATTCAGTACTATATTAATCTTCCTTTAGATTTTAAATATCATTTGAAAAGTGAATGCTGCAATTATGGGGAATAGATACAGAAAAAATAAATCAACATATTTAACTTCTCACTACTAACCTCATATGTAATAACTTTGGAAAAATTTTTAAGCAAAGAACAAATACTTGAGTTATGTTGACATGAAACACAAAATGTGAAAGGTCATTGAATTATAGACACATTTTGGGTGAAGATTTGCTTTCTTGATGTTGATATTAGTTTATTATTATTATTTACTGCAATATGTTAAATTTTATACAAAATATGGATAAATTCAATTTTAAGATTTGTTATGTAAAAAAATCCTAGATTAAACATGTATACAAGTAGGTCGATGTAACTTAAAATCATTATAAATATACTTTTGCATATTTCTTTTCTCCTTTTGTTTCATTTGAATGTTGAAATTTTTATGTCCTCTTTGCTAATATGCAATAATAAGCAGAATTATTAGGGTAGATTGCTTATCCTATTTACTTCCCATATACTTTTACTGATCTCTCAATTAGTTTTCTCTTTATTGCATCAAAATTCTACTGTTTAAATAACTTCTTAAATGGTTTCCCTGCCTATAGATTTCTTCATTTTAGAGAGACCCTCTTGAGTAACTATTTATCCTTAAAATATTACATTTTCTTGCTTCCTTTTTAAAAAAATCCTTAGTGGTTTTCTGTTTTCTAGAGATAAATCTCCCAAATTTTAGCATACTTTTTCATATTGTGCTAGATTACCAACAACAAATTTTCCTAATTTCATTTCTTATTTCCTTAAAACACAGGTGACTGTATTTAGGATATCTCTTGCTCCTCGGCATTCAAAAGCATGGAAGACACCCTCACCTTTCTTCTCAGGCAACCCAAATGCTTCCAAGTGCTCAAACTAAACATTCAAATTTAAAGGGGTAAGTTAAAAAAAGAGATGCATTTATTCATTATCCCCCTATTCTATATGGAAAAGGTGCATACACCCATATGGAAAGGTTATTACACATAGAAGTACATATGTATGGAAAAAATACACAAATCTGTAAATCTTTGGCTAATTCAGCAATAAGTGAATGTTATATTGTAAATGTTGCAGGTTATATTTAATCATTATATAATAGAATAGAAAGAGCATGTATTAAAATATGAGTAACAGAAAAAAAACTTGTGAAAATGTCTTTGCAAAACACCTAATCATTTACTGCTAAAATTAATGTAGTAATTAAATATGTGCTTTACAGGAAAATATTTCTGTTTTCTTGAACTGTTAATTTAAGTCCTTTTTGTTCATTTTGTAGTTAACTATCTGGTTTCCCCAACTAGCTTGTTAGATCCTTGGAAAAGGTGACATTTTCTTAGGTTATTATAAACAACTGAAAATAATTCACAGAGCACTCTGTATAGAGGTAGGGACTCAATAAATTTTTTTTGTTTGATATAATTTGACTTTGCCATTATTTTCTATGGGTATTCAGCTGCTAGTACAAATAGTGTTTATTTTATCTTTTAATATATTGAACATATAGTCAAAACCTTATCTCACTTTTGCATGTCAGAGAAGGAAATATGTAAATATATTTCTGTGATTTTAGAAAATATCTCCTGGTTTACAGATATATTTAAAACAGAAGCTGATGATGTCAGTCATTCTTTCTAACTAATATTGCTCATTTAGCTTAATTCTCAAGTTCTTCTAATAATTAAACCTTGGGTAATAAATGATTTTTTTCATTTTGGCGAGTAGTACAAGTAATATATTTTCTCATAATACAAATTGAGGGAATTAATAGAAGAGTGAAGAATTTAATAGTCACATAAGTTTATAATTTGTGATACATCTAATAGTAGTGAACTTTTAATTTGTTTTTTGGAAATTTGTGTCTACAAGATGTTATTGCATGCAAACTTGTTGAAACCCAATATAGGACAAATAGGGGTTTGAAGATAAGATACAAATTTTGGAGGACTTAATAAGATAGGTCACAAATATCACCTAAAATGTTTCTTCATTTGGGCTATTTTCATTTTATCATCTTTTCCTCATGACTGAGATCAGAGATTATAGCTCCAAGACAACTGCCATGTTAATTGCTCAGTCCTCAGGATGTAGAATGCTTACTGGCTCATGGTGTGGACACAAACAACATTTGTTAAATGGATAGAAACAGGTGAGTCTAGTGTCCTGTTCACAGGGTCATGGGTCATGAAGCAAAGACAGACTTTCCTGCTTATTCCAACTTTAAAAATTGAAGGAGGACAGCTGCCAGTCTTGCCCAGTTCACATTCTTACTCCTGAGGTCTGGAGGGGCTGTAAAAAGTCGGGTAGGAAAAAGCTGCTAGGGAGACATAACAACAAACACAGAGAACTACTGTAAAGTACATGTAGATGTGCCCCTGCCATTTCCCAGTGTTTGTTCAATAACAAAAATACACAGAAGCCCAGTTGGAAGTACTAAGTGTGAGTAATGCAATTTTCCCTGGGGAAAAGCATAAGCTGCATTCTCCCAGCAGGGGAAAATTAATTCTGAGTCATTTGGATGTTGTTTTCCATAGCATCTCTTTGAATCACTAAACTTCTCTAATAGTACTGAGTTCTCTCCTCTGGTATTTCTAATCATTTCTAAAAGTTTCTAGAAATGTTGGTGAAGTGGCATAGAATGTAAAATTTCAAGTTATGCAGCAGATACCTAATGATGGAGCTAAGTTACATTTCAAGCCCTGAAATATGCTATTTGGCTTCAAGTGGCTTTATTTTTTAAAATGTATCAAAATGTGGATGATCTTTCAAATATTAACACCAAGGTACTGAAAAAGGAACCCAAATGGGAAAGCTAGAAAGCAGTTAAGCTTGCTCTGGGAACAAAATAAGTAGAAAAGATAAAGACTTCAATCCTATCTTTTAAAAAGCTATCACTCTAAAATGAAAGTAGATGTTTTCCAAATCTTTCTACTTTTCTCCTACCTTCAACTTCTCAACTCTAATTATTACAAAACAAATCTTTTGTGGTTATCTATGGAATGATTAGAAATACATATATTTTTGTTGTTAATGAGTCTGTACTTGTTATAAATATGACAAATTCTTATTATTACATCAAAAAAGTTATATTTTAAATTACTCTTGACACATTTTAATGATGTTCTACATTGTTCTTAATGAAGGTCAGGCCCGTGAGATAATGTGCTATTATTGACTGAATTCTAGCTATTTTGTCTGAGATATACATTTGACAAGAATACTGCTTCAGAAGAAGCAATTCATTTACATAGAAAATGTTTTGCTATAAGCAAACCAAAGCATGTCTGCATCCAAATTTAGAAATGTGTTGGTGGATTGATAGTTTCATTTAGTCGGGAAAGAGAGAGAGAGAGAGAGTATTCATATTCTCTCAGGCTCAGATGACAAAGAAAAAATGTATTTTGTAATGGAGGATATTTGTTGTTATCACTTGATCTTTTTCCCATTTATTTTACTTATATTTTTGTGTTTTGTAACTACTTAATCATTTAGTTGATCACTCAGCAAGAACACTACACTTACCATTCTATAGGTATTTTCTTATTTAAACCTCACAAAACATTAAAGATAATTTTGATGTTTTCCTATGAGAAAGCAGAAGTTTTGAATCTCAACAAGTTTTTAAGTGACAAAGCCAGGCTAAATTAAAATATATGACCATTAATTGAACCAATATACTATCTAGCCTAGAATGAAAAAGTAAAGTAGGTGGGTCAAATTATTTTTCCCTTTTCAAAATAAAATAATCAGAAGTTATGTACACAATTTACAGACTTATTTATGCATTATTCACATCTATATCACTTTTGGGAACATATGAGAAAACATTTTAAATAATATACAACTTATGTAGTGAAACTGTGAGCTAAAATAAATTATGTTCATTTTAGATTGTATATGTAGAAGAAATCTGGCAGTTGAATAATTTTTCCATAAATCTAATCAATACGCAAAGCAAATTAAAATTCTTTAGTTAGAATTCATATGAGCAATTGATTTACTTTTTTTATTTCAACTCTGGAAAGCAGCCTAAATCAGGGTGGAATTTATAAATTGAATGCCCTTTGAGTGGTTATAGATACCCTAGACCAGTTCCTGTATTTTGTTCAATCCTAATAGAGCTTTCTTACAGCTCATTAAATTTGTTGTTTTTCTTGATTCATTTTGATTCTCAAAACTGAACTTGATTTACTTCAATGTGTTCTCAGAGAGCATGGAAAGGGCAAGAAATTTTCCGGGAACTTTTGCTCATTACAACCAATTGAAACTAATCAGTCAATTGCTACCTGATTCATAACCAACAACACTGATTGGCTTACAGCTTTTACAAAGAGAAAAAGAAAGAGAGAATTAAAGGGAAGTTCTAAAGGGAGAGAATTAAAGGAAAATAGGTTCAATTTCTCTACTAATCCCACATGCATATGCCTCTGTGGCTCTACAACACATGACAGTCATCACCATTGCAGTGTACCCAGAAGTGATGAATGAAAAGATGGAAGTTATTTTAATAAAAAAAAATTCTAAATACAATCAGTGGTACATTCTATTCATTTTTCTATAGTCTTATTTACCCTTTAGGATATATTGAAATATTTGTTGATAGGAGGTAAATTGAAAATTGAGTCTAAGTGAGTAGAGAGTATGCCTTCGGTATTCCCTGCCATGTGTATTAAACCATGAGGCTTTTGCCTCAGACCTGAAGGGCCACAAATACCGAGAA
This sequence comes from Homo sapiens, assembly GCF_000001405.40. NCBI lineage: Eukaryota > Metazoa > Chordata > Mammalia > Primates > Hominidae > Homo > Homo sapiens. Next base: position 130,213,294 of record NC_000004.12, read on the forward strand.
GAGTAGAGTGACTTAGAGAGGCAAGGAAGGAGCAATATCTGGTCTTTCTCCTTCGAGGCTTTGGAAGAGGAATAAATTATTTCAGTGTGCTACACACAGTTTAATCAATTAATCTATGTGCCTTACAAACCCAATATAACAAATTAAAGGGCTGGGCATGGTGGCTCACGCCTGTAATCCCAGCACTTTGGGAGACTGAGGCAGGAGGATCACGAGGTCAAGAGTTCGAGACCATCCTGGCCAACATGGTGAAACCCCGTCTCTACTAAAAATACAAAAATTTGCTGGGCATTGTGCACACCTGTAGTCCCAGCTTCTCGGGAAGCTGAGGAAGGAGAATCGCTTGAGCCCAGGAGGCAGAGGTTGCAGTGAGCTGAGATCGCGCCACTGCACTCCAGCCTGGCAACAGAGTGAAACTCTGTCTCCAAAGAAAAAAAAAAAGAAATTAAAGAAAACAAATTGAGAATACAGATTAAGGAATCTATTTTTAAATTAATTTTGACTGAAATATGAATTAGAAAAATATGGGGAAAGGGAATATTGAAGATTTTGACTATTTTTTACCTTCTGATGCTCAGTATTCCCACAGTGAGACTGAGCTCACACTGTGCTTACTTATTGCCTTTTCTCATAGGGAATCCACACATAGAGACATACACTTGCATTATGGTCTAATTTTATCAAATAGCAATAGAAAGGCATATTCTCTAAATACATTAAAATTATGTTTGTCTTTAGAAATTAATTCAGAAAATTATACCTGTACCTCTCTGCTGTCTGATAGAGAGATACAAGACATTTATCTCCCTTGTTTTTATTCATCTATTATTTCACAATTTTTAGAAAGTCTCTTATGTAATATATTTGGAAATACCCATCCATTCCAAAATAAAGAGGTCTTAAATAAACCTAAGTGCATTTTTGAAAAGAGCATAATAAAAATCTACAGCTAAACTAGGTAGAAATCACTCCTTAAAGTTTAACGAAGTTTTTGGTTTTTCCAAAAGTATTATTTGGACAATGAATTACCAGGTGCAAATAGAGGTTGTTATTGACACACACATCTAATTTTTTTTCTCTTGTAATCCAAACTACAAAAAAAAAACTACAAAAAAACCACAATTCTGATTGCACTTCCGTTTGCAGCTGTACTGAGACTGATTACTGGAACTCTCACGTCCAGCTTCATCACCACTGGCAGGCCTGGAGGGGAGATCTTTTTCCAATTCCATGAAATGCTCCAACAGAATCTACCTTCTAGTTTTATGTTCCCAAACCCCTTTTCATGGTCCCTTATTTTATCTTGCTGTACTGAATATTTCATTTTAAAAAGAGCAGTAGTGGATGATTGCTTTTAGGCTCATCTAGCCAAGCGTTTTCTGGCTGTTCATTTTTCAGTAAAGCAGGAGAAAATGCACTTTCTGGTAATAAAGAGGAGTGTTTTCCTTTCTTTTTATGTCATCACTTTTGCTTATGTCTAAGAATACTGAGTGGTCACACTTTCTCACATTCAGTTTTATTAATGATTTCATCATATAAACACTGTACAAATGGTTGGCATTAAATATGTATATACACCAAAATAAGGATGATAACTTCAAGAGAAAAATAAGATTATACATGCATGAAGGCAGGTCCTATTAGGAAATATTCTATATCCATATTTCCCATCATTCTGCAAGGGAGAGAAACAGAGGTCATATATAGTGATAATAAGCATGTGCTGGAATCAGATCCTCTGGTTTTCATTCCTGGCTCTGCCACTTATTTGCCATGTAAACTTGAGCAAGTTATTTCAATTTTCTATCCTTCAATTCCTTCATTTGTAAAACTGAGAAAAGTACTAATCTCAGAGGGTTAGAATGAAGAGTAAATTAAGGACTTAGGGCACAGCAGGTAGTCTTCGAAAACGATTAAGTATTAGATAAATGTTAGATGCTGTGCCTATAGTATGGATAAGGAGTTACCAAATAAATGCTTCAGAAATAAACGACTTCTGAAGAGTGGATTTATTGCTTGCTGTTCCCAAAAGAATGTACCATACATGAAGAATATATCTGTTTGTTCCATTTACTTTGGTTTTTCTGGTATCTAGAACAGTCCTTAGACCTGTAATTGGTGTTCAATATTTTTTGATTGACTGAATAAAAGAATGAATGACGGATGGTTATCTGAAAGAGAGCACGTATACATGTATACACACACACATTCATATATATATACACATATGTGTACACACACAGATATATACACAGATGCAACATATATAGGGTAATTTATTTTCTATGAAAAATAATGTCATTAATACAGCTACTAACTAATAATCAATTAGCTTCCTTAGTTTAAAAACTTAAGGATAATTTTGCGTGAAGAAAAATAAGGACAGGCAAGCAGATGTTAATTAATAAATCTAAACACCTAAGAAGACTTTATGATCAGAGGGCTTTAACACTGTGGAAAGGACATATAAACAAGTGCCACAGGCCTGAAATCCTGTTCTTAACTCTGTTACAAAATCTTAGTTAATGTACTTAACTCTGAAACTCTGTTTTCTATTAAATAATATGCTGATTTCACTACATTGCTGAAATAATTATATAATTTGAATTTGTTCTTCTAATTGATTTTTGATTAGCTAGAATTAAAGAACTTCTTTTTCTTCTCTACTCACACTGCTTGGCAAGAAATTTATAGTGCTTTCCACTCTAAAAGCGTCATAAGATTTGTAAATTGCCTATCAGCAGGGCTTGTCGACCCATTAGGATCTAGGTTAAGATATACTGTACTTCTATTTGATTGTTCTCTTATTAACTTATATTAATTTACAAGTTAATTGATATCTATTCTATGCTCTTTTCTATGGAAAAACCTAAAGTCCTTCCTAGAAATTCTATAAATTCCTCAAACTGTCATTTTTTTGTCATATTTTTGATTACTTCTTGCTACTTCTGTGTTTCTGTCTCCACTCATGCATCTTGCAGCTGTTGCTTTATGTTTACTGCTGTGTCAACCCAAATATGGACTCAGCCCTTTCCTTTAATTCCCTCCAAAAGCCTAAACACATGAGTCTTTTGTGAAATTGTTCAACATTTCTGAAGAGATAGAAGCCATAAATTATAACATAGGGACACAGGCTGGTTAATATTGAATGCCTGATTTTCTTGTGTTAAAAAAAAATCTTTTTATCCTTTTCTTTTTATGCGGCTCCGTGTATCTCTTTCAGCTTTCCTATTCTCTCCAGCCTGAAATGCCCTGTCGCTGGTAATGCCCATCAATGTAATTGTTTTTTTGGAGTCATTTCTCCTGCTACTCTGTTCTCACAAGCAAGCTTCCTTCTAACTAATGCTCCTCATTAAGATGTTTTCCTGAAAATGATAGTTTTTTTTCATAAAATATTTTGTTACTAACAATTATTATGCACCTCCAAAATCTGGTCAAGCACACTCACTTTTCTGGGACAATGAGATGTGAGAAAAAGTGATATACTTAACCAGTTTGTTATGCCTTAAAGTAGACGGATATAACTTCTCTTTCACCTTTACCCTTTCTCCTTCCTGCATGTTCATTGCCAGATGTGGTGGTCATCTGTTGTAGACCTCATAAGAAAGGGATGACATATTATAAAATAGAAGTATTTTGATCTCTAATGCTTCTGAAAAGCAGAACTACATACCATACAAACTTGGACTTCTTTGTGAAAAAATAATGTGCTTCTATTTGATTGTTCTCTTATTAACTTAGGTGTATATTCCATGTTATGAACTTATATCATACTAATTTACTAATTAATCCTTTTCTTGTTTTGATATAAAATAGTTGTACATATTTATGAGTATACATGATATTTTGATACACATACAATGTATATCGATCAAATCAGGATAAATATGATATTCACTGCTTCAAACATTGATCATTTGTGTTGAAAATATTTCAAATTTTCTCTTCCAGCTATTTTGAAGAGCACGATAAATAATTCTTAACTATAGTCACCCTACTGTTCTATGTAACACTAGAACTTATTCCTTCTATCTAACTGTATGTTTTACTCATTAAACAACCTTTCTTTATCACTCTCCCCACTCCACACACCCCCCCACCAATGTTTCCAGCCATGGGTAACCATCGTTCTATTCACTACCTTCATGAAATCCATTTTTTTAGTTCCTGCGTATGAATGAGAACATGCAATATTTGTTTTTCCGTGTCTGGCTCATTTTACATTAAATAATGACCTCCAGTTTCATCCATGTCGATGCAAATGATAGAATATCACTCTTTTTATGGTTTAATAATATTCCATTATGCATATATAGCACATTTCTTCATTCATCCATTGATGGACACTTAGTTTGATTTCATGTCTTGGCTATTGTGAATAGTGCTGCAGTAAACATGGCATGCAGGTAACTTTTGGTAGAAGGATTTCTATTATTTTGGATAAATATCCAGTAGTGTGATTGCTGTATCATATGGTATATCCATTATTAGTTTTTTGAAGGACCTCCATACTGTTTTCCATAGTGACTATAATAATTTACATCCCACCAGCAGTCTACTAGAGTTTTTCTTTCTTTGCATACTTGCCAGCATCTATTAATTTTTGTCTTTTTAATAATAGCCATTTTAACTGGGATGAGACAAAGTCTCATTGTGGTTAGAATTTGTATATCCCTGATGATTACTGATGTTAAGCATTTTTTCATATGCCTGTTGGCCATTTGTATGTCTTCTTTTAAGAAGTGCCTATTCATATCATTTGCCTTTTTAAAAATAATATTCTTTGGTTTATGGTGTTCTTTTTTTTTTTTTTTCTGAGACATGATCTTGTTCTTTTGCCCAGGCTGGAGTGCAGTGGCATAATCACAGTTTACTGCATCCTTGACCTCCCAGGCTCAAGTGATCCTTCCTCCTCAGCCTCCCAGGTAGCTGGGACTACAGGCACATGCCACAATGCCCAGATAATTTTTGTATTTTTTTGTAGAGGTAAGGATTCTTCATATTGCCCTGGCTGATCTTGAACTCCTGGGTTATGGCAATCCACTCGCCTTGGCTTCACAAAGTGCTGGGATTATAGGCATGAGCCACTGCATCCGACCATTTTTTTGCTATTGAGTTGAGTTCCTACATATTCTGGTTTTTTAAACTTTGTTGGGTGGATAGTTTGCAAATATTTTCTCCTATTCTGTAAGTTGTATTTGCACTTCATTGATTATTTCTTTTGCTGTGCAGAAGCTTCATAGCTTGATATAATTTTATTTGTCTATATTTGCTTTTGTTGCTTGTAGTGTAGAGGTGTTACCTAAAAAATCTTTGCCCAGACCAATAAACTGAAAGTATTTTCCAATATTTACTTTTAGTAGTTTCATAGTTTGGGGGCTTAGATTTAAGTGTTCAATTCATTTTGATTTGAAATCTGTTTACGGTGACATAGAGGGCTATAGTTTCATTCTTCTGCATGTAGTTATCCAGTTTTTCCACCACCATTTATTCAAGAGACTGTCTTTTTCACACTAATTTTTTTGGTAGCTTTGTTGAAAATCAGTTGGCTGAAAAAGCAAAGACTTATATCTGGACTCTCTATTCTGTTCCATTGATTTATATGTCTGTTTATATGCCAGTACTAAACTATTGTGATTACTATGGCTTTGTAGTATATTTTGAAGTCAGGTGAGGAAATGCTTCCATATTTGTTCTTTTTGCTCAGGATTGCTTTTGCTATTGGGGTATTATGTGGTTTTATATAAATTTTAGGATGTTTTTATATCTGTGAAGAATGTTGTTGGTATTTTAATAGGGATTGCATTGAATCTATAGATTGCTTTTGGTAGTATAGTCATTTTCACAATATTAACTCTTCCAATTTATGAAGATGGGATGCCCTTCCATTATTTTTGTGACTTCTACAAGTTCTTTCAACAGTATTTTATAGTTTACTTTGTAAGATCTTTCACCTCTTTGGTTGAATTCATTTCTAGGTATTTTAATTCTTTTCTTATATCTATCATAAATGGGATCTCCTTCTTGATTTCTTTTTCTGCTAGATCATTATTGGTGTATAAAAATGCTACTGATTTTTGTATGTTAATTTTGTGTCCTGTAACTTTATTGAATATACGTATTAGTTCTAACAGTTTTTGATGGCATTTTCGGGATTTTTTTTATTTATAAGATCATATTTTCTGCAAACATATTTTGGAAAAGGAAAGGAAGGGACTAAAGAACATCTATTTGGAAAGGTGGAAGATTATATTTTGAGCTCCACCTTTCCAAATGGATGCTCTTTATTTTTTTCCCTTGACTAATTGTTCTGATTGGGACTTCCAGTACTATGTTAAATGAGAGTGGTGAAAGTGTTGATCATTACCTTGGAGGTCTTTTTCAAGTTCTTGGAGGAAAAGCTTTCAGTTTCTCACCATTCAGTACAATGTTAGCTGTGAGTTTGTCTTACATGGTCTTTATTGTGTTGAGATATGTTCCTTCTATATATAGTTTGTTGAGAGTTTTTATAATGAAGGGATTTTGAATGTATAAATAGTTTTTTTTGCATTTACAGATATGATCACTTTTTGTCCTTTATTTGGTTGGTGTGATGTTTAACATTTGTTGATTTATGAATGTTTAATCATTTTTGCATCCCTGAATAAATCCACTTGATCATGGTGAATAATCTTTTTAATGTACTGTTGGATTTTGTTTGCTAATATTTTGTTAGAGATTTTTGCATCTATGTTCATCAAAAATATTGGTGAATAGTTTTCTTTTTCATTGTGTCCTTTTCTGGTTTAGTGAACACAGTGATGTTGGCCTCATAGAATGAGTGTCGAAGGATTTCCTCCTCTTTAATATTCTGGAAGACTTTGAGAAGAATTGATGTAAGTTCTTTTTTAAATGTTTGATAGAATTCAGCAGTGAAGTCATCAGGTCCTGAGCTTTCCTTACATGATAAACTTTTTTTTCATGATAAATTTTTTTTCATGATAAACTTGTTATAGTGATTCAATCTTTTTACCTAAAATGTACCTTTTTGGTTTATCTATTTCTTCTTGGTTCAATCTTGGTAGGTTGTGTGTGTCCAGGAATTTTTTTTTTATTTCTGTAAGGTTTTCCAATTACTGAAATACATTTGTTCAAAATAATCTCTAATGATCTTTTGTATTTCTGTGGTATCATTTGTAATGCCCTTTTTTTTGTTTCCATGTTTACTTATTTGTATCTCCTCTTTTTTCTTAATTAGTCTGGCTAATGTTTTGTTGATTTTATCTTTTTTTAAAAAGCAACTCTTTGTTTTGTTGATCCATTGTATTTTTGTCTCAATTTTATTTCTACATTGATCTTTATTATTTCTTTTCTTCTACTAATTTTGAGCTTGGTTTGTTTTTGCCTTTCTAGTTTCATGAGAGGCATCACTAGATAGTTTATATGGAATCTTTCTATTCTTTGTTGTAGGCATTATTGCTATAAACCGCCCCCTTAATACTGTTTTTGATGTATTTCTTAGGTTTTGATATGTTGTGTACATCTTTTTGTTTGAAGAAATTTTTATAATTTTCTTATTAATTTCTTCCTTAATCCATTAACCATTCAAGAGCATGCTGTTTAATTTCCATGTATTTATGCAGTTTGAAAATTACTTATTATTAGTGATTTCTAGTTTTATTTCACTGTAATTAAAAAAAATACTTGTTATAATTTCATTTCTTTTAACTTTGTTGAGACTTACTTTATGGCCTAGCATTTGGTCTATCCTGGAGCATGCTCCTTGTGCTGATGAAAAAAATGTGCATTCTGCAGCAGTTTGATGTAATGTTCTGTAAATGTTTGTTCGCTTCATTTGGTATAAAGTGCAGTTTCAATCCAATGTCTCTTTTGTAAGTTTCTATCTAGATGATCTGATCAGTGCTGAGACTGGGGTGTTAAAGTTCCCAAATATGCCTGCATTGGAGCCTATATACTCCATGAGATCAAAAAATATTTTCTTTTTATATCTGGGTGCTCTAGTGTTGGGTGCATATATATTTATAATTGTTATATCCTCTTATTGAATTGATCCCTTTATCGTTATATAGTATCTTTCATTTCCTTTTTTCTTTCATAGTTTTGACTTAGATTTCATAATATCTGATCTAAGAATAGCTACTCCTTTTAACTTTTGGTTGTCATTTGTATGGAATATCTTTTTTCAGTTTATATATGTTTTTATAGGTGAAGTGAGTGTTTTGTAGGCAGCATATGCTTCAGTTATGTTGTTTGGCCGTTTAGCCATTCTACATCTTTTAAGTGGGGAATTTAATTTATTTACATTCAAGATTATTGTTGATGGGTGAGTAGTTTATCTTCTTACTTTGTTAATTGTTTTCTGGTTGTTTTGTATAACCTTTGTTTGTTTCTTTCTCTTATTGTTTATCATTGCAGTTTGGTGGTTTTTGGTAGTAATAAGGTTTGATTGCTTTTTCTTTCTTCTTTGTATATCTGCTCTACCAGTGAGTTGTATACTTTCGCATGTCCTCATGATGGTGATTTTCATCTTTTCACTTTGAGATGCAGGGCTCCTATTAGCATTCCTTAAAAGGCCAGTCTATTAGTGACAAATCTCTTAAGTTTCTGCTTGTATGGGAATTTCTCCTTCAGTATTTTGAATATATCATTCTATTATCTCCTGGCCTATATAGTTTCTGTTTAAAAATCTGCTATTAGCCTAATAAAAATTCCTTTATATGTGACATGATGCTTTTGTCTTGCTATTTTAAAAATTATCTTTGTCTTTTGAAAAATTAGCTATAACGCGCCTCAGGAAGGATGATTTTTAATTTAATCTACTTTGAGAAATTTGAGTTTTCTCAATCTGGATGTTCATATCTCTCCTCAGATTGGAGATGTTTTCAGCTATTATTTCATTATATAATAATTTTAAAAGATATAATTTTTTAAAAATATTATTTTATAAATAAAAAAATACTTTTTTTTTTGAGATGACGTTTTGCTCTTATTGCCCAGGCTGGAGTGCAATGGTACGATCTCGGCTCACTGCAACCTCTGCCCGTCAGGTTCAAGCAATTCTCCTGACTCAGCCTCCCGAGTAACTGGGATTAGAGGCACCTGCCACTACTCCCAGCTAATTTTTGTATTTTAGCAGAGATTCGGTTTCACCATGTTGGCCAGGCTGGTCTTGAACTCCTGACCTCGTGATCTACCCACCTCGGCCTCCCAAAGTGCTGAGATTACAGGCATGAGCCACTGTGCCCAGCCATTTAACAGCTTTTCTAAGCCTTTTTCTATTTCACCACTTTTTGCAACACCCATAATGTGAATATATTTACTTAGCGATGTCCCATAAATCTTTCAGTCTTTCTTCACTCTCTTTTTCATTCTCAGTTTTTTCCTTTGACTAATTTTAAACCATATATCTTTACCTTTAGAAACGTTTTCTTCTGTTTGATGAAGTCTGGTGTTGAAACCCTCTATTGTAGTTTTAGTTTATTCATTGGATTCTTTAGCTGCAGAATTTCTGTTTGGTTCTTTTATAATGTCTGTCTCTTTGTTTACTTTTTCATTCACATCATAAATTGTTTTCTTGATTTTGTTGATTGTCTGCCTGTATTTTCTTGTATCCCATTGAGTTTCCTTAAGATTACTGTTTTGAATTCCTTTTTCTGCAATTCATTGATTTCCTTTTTATTGAGGTCTATTACTAAAGAGTTATTACATTCTTTTGACTCTGTCATATTTCCTTGCTTTTTCATGTTTCCTATGTTCTTGCATGGATGTCTGTAAATCTGGTGGAACAGTCACCTCTTCCAAACTTTCTAGAGTGGCTTTAGCAGAAAAAGACTTTCACCTGAATTTGAGGTTAGTGTGAATTTGGATCTTTCACTTGCAAAGTGGGTCTTTCTGTTGGGAAAGGTATGGTGGCTGTTGCCAGGTAGGTGCAGTAGTATAGTCTCCATGCAGCTTATTTAGCTATGTTTCTGTATCAGCAATAATTATGGGCATTTCAGGGGCCTAGGCTGTAGAAGTTTGTGGTAGCAGAATAGGTTGTTAATGTCTTCAGTGGCAAGAGGTTTTTGGCTCCTTCCATTCTTTTTTCTTACAATGAGGAAACTTGGATGAGGGATGCCTCTTGATAATAGGGCTGACATGGCCTAAAAGCAGCTGCCACAACACTGGGTTGTAGGTATAGGTGCGCAGAGCAGTTATGAGCCCAGGATCCCAGGCTCAGGATCTTACAAATCTATTGTGACAAATAGGTCTTGGGGTGCAAATTAACTGTAGCACCAGAATTTGTGACTCTCACGCACTCTCTAGCAGCTCAAGTCCAGGGATTCAGGTTATAACTCTGATTCTAGCCCTGGGGGTAGGGCACAACCCTGGATTCATTTCAGATAAGGAGTGCTTTGGAAGTTTGAGTCTGTGAGGGAAGATATGGCTGTAATTCAGGAGCCTGAGCCAATATGGCTCAGTGTCACCTCAGATCCTGGATAGTAGGCACTGCATAGTGGAACTCTATACCCTGGGGTGCTGGGGCTCTGCAGTGTTCCAGATTCTGTGAGACCATGTAAAGTGACAGCAAATACCCTAGAGTGGCTGAGCATGGCTATTGTTTGGGTGCTGTGGGACAGGGAGCAATACATTGATGACTCCACTCCCCAGGGAGAGGGGCATCTCACCAGGTCAGTCTGTAGGGGGCTAGTCTAGCTTCAGGGAAGCAGGATACTAGAGTTATTTGTCTTGTACTGTGGGGTGCCTCAGTGCAGCTACTGCTCTGTTTTCATAGGACGTGAAGTAAAGTGTCAGCTCAGCCCTGGGATGTGCATCTGTTCAGCTCCACCAAGGCACCAATTTCCCAGGGGGTGATATGCCACCTCAGTTCAGGTCCCGGGTGTGTGACTATTCTGGGTAGTCCAGGGACCATTTTCCTGGGATACAGAGCTTGCCAAACATTGTTTCCTGGGAAGGCAGTGTGCAGTTTCAGCTAAGGTTTCTAGGAGCAGGGCACAGACACATCTGAGAAAGACAGATAGAGCTATTTTGCCAAAGAACCCTTTTCCCAGGATGGAGTGTGTATGTATATTCCCAAAACTTCCCTGCTGGAAGGAGGGAGGGAGGGGCAGGTGGACTGGTTCAACTACTGCTTAGCCACATAGGGAAAGGTGTAATAGCTGCTGGCAGTTCCGTTTGGGAGTGTGGGGTCATTGGGTGGGAGTAGTTCAGTGGTGACTTAGCCTCAGAAATGAAGGAGTGCTGCAGCTACTTGCCCCTAGAGCAAGAAACACTCCAGAAATAGTTCTGGTTTGAAGATGATGTATCACAGTAGCTGCAAGGAGCACAGTGGGAAGGGAACAGTGTTGGCCCCCTCTCTGGCAGGAGCACAGTGGTGTGCACTGCTGGGAACTCTTTCACCTGGGCTTAGTGCCTGTGAAAACTGCAAGGACCCTGAGGATGAGAACCGTAGGTGTCCAAAATATTGGTAAGGGTTGTTTGGATCCTCTTACTCACCTTAACACTGTAGAGAGAATCCTAGTTCCTGGCTGATCCTGGCTGGGAGATGTGATGGAGTCCGAGTGTTTCCTTCCATTATCTATGTATTTATTCTCATTTTCTGTGCTACCTAGGAATTTTGTTAATCTTTGGACATACTCTGGAACATTCTTTTAGTTACTTTTGTTAAAATATAGTTGTTTATTCATTGTTTAGCTGTCTTTGTGGAAATGTTCGGGATTTTTCGCGGGACATCTTGTTTACATCACTCCACTAAATGAATTAATCATTTTCTTGAGAGCAAGGCATTTGAAACTCAAAAGCAAGGATAATATTCTTAAGTTACTTGCTCTATCAATTGCTCCTTCGTTGAGGCAATTAGCCAGGAAAATTAGCAGCTGCTTGAGTGAATTTTGTTACTGAGGGAAGGGTTGGATAAAGATGAGGAAAAAAATCTCAAGAAAACATTCACATAATATATTTCAAATATAATATTGCCAGGTTGCCAGGACTAGAGCATCAACATTACAATCCCAGGACTACTACAAGCTCACAAACTCAGCTATAAGAAAAAAATCAACACAATCTCTCTGGGAATGCGTTTTTTTTTTTTTCCTTACCTACAATAATGCATGCCGTTTATGCTAAAATATTTGAATTGAGAAAATGAAGATAATGAAAATAACAATTGACAAAGCATTCTTACAATACTTGAAAAAGAGCTGTGAAAAATTTTAATAATTTCAAATGTTGAATTAAAAAAAATTAAAAAGAAATAGGTTGGGTACTACTCCTGAGCCAGGTAGAACTAAATTTATGCATTCATTTGTTCACCTCTCTTACAGCATTTCAACAATACAGTTTTTGCCACATAAAATCTTTAAAAAGTAAAGATATAGGGTGCAGCTATATCTTTGATGCATTCTACAACATTTTAAAATGTTCACTCAGGAACAGTCTACTAAGGATTAATAAATATGAAAATAGCATTATGATTAATGAACAATGGGAGCTGTAGTATTTTGTATACAGCACTATTCTTATTTTGAATGTTACAGTGGATCTTTCCAGCACATCAGGATAACCACAGTAGTGTGGAAGATGCTAAAGGAGCCCTTGTGACCAATCACAGATGATTGACAACTAATCATCATAAATTAAACAATAGGTTGCATATATCAATCTGCTTTTCAGGATTAGACCTGGAAGGATAAATATGACAATATTAAAGTGGACACTGAGAAGAGATGCTACACTTCAGGCAACAAATCTTGTCAGTGGTGGACCATGGTAAGTGATTTTGCCATTCAAAAATGAAAGTAAGGATTATCGCATGGAAGAAAGTACTTCTGAGATATTTGCTTTCAATAGGCATTTCAACATTAAAATATGCTTAGAAAACCAAAGAGTGGGCGGAGCACTGTGGCTCACACCTGTAATCCTAGCATTTTGGGAGGCCAAGGTGGGTGGATCACCTGAGGTCAGGAGTTCGAGACCAGCCTGGACAACATAGTGAAACCCCATCTTTACTAAAAATACAAAAATTACCATGCCTGTAATCCCAGCTACTCGGGAGGCTGAGGCAGGATAATTGCTTGAATCCAGGAGGCAGAAGTTCCAGTGAGCTGAGATCACTCTGCTGCATTCTAGCCTATGTGACAGAGCGAGACTCTGTCTCAAAAAAAAAAAAGAAAAGAAAAGAAAGAAAATACAGGACCATTTGTAGTAACAGCTACCCAGCTCTGCAAAAGCTACAAAACTAATTCACTTATAAAGCCTTATAGGAATTACGGAAATGTGTAGAGTGTAAACCTAAATGCCATAAGTAGCTACTATACTCTGATTTCTCTTGCTTCACTGAGAGAAATAGTTGCTGAAGAAAGTGGTGTTGGAAGAGGAATGCTTTTGAAAGGTACAGGCAGTCTATGAAGTCAAAGATAAGATCTAACCTTCAGCTATCTTCTTAGTATCTTTTGAGGAAAACATGAACCCTATATACATTCAAAACTATAAATTTGCTGGTATACTAAAATGATTAAGTAAATTTAAGGGAACAACTTGAATTTCCAAAAAATAATTAAATATGATACCCCTCTGTTGACAAAGACAGGAAATTCATAAGGAATCACCATATGGAGATAAACTATGAAATAGAAAGGTAAGTGATTGAAGTAAGATGAAAATATAAGAAAACTCAAACTTTTAACAAGTAATTTGTTGGGAACAAGCCCCCCCAAATCTGGCCATAAACTGGCCCCAAAACTGGCCATAAACAAAATCTCTGCATCATTGTGACATGTTCATGATGGCCGTAACTCCCATGCTACGGGAATGAAGGCAAGGAATACCTGGCCCGCCCAGGGTGGAAAACCGCTTAAAGGCATTCTTAAGCCACAAACAATAGCATGAGTGAACTGTGCCTTAAAGACATGCTCCTGCTGCAGTTAACTAGCCCAACCTATTCCTTTAATTTGGCCCATCACTTCGTTTCCCATAAGGGATACTTTTAGTTAATTTAATGTCTATAGAAACAATGCCAATGACTGGCTTGCCGTTAATAAATACGTGAGTAAATCTCGGTTCAGGGCTCTCAGTTCTGAAGGCTGTGAAACCTCTGATTTCCCACTTCACACCTCTATATTTCTGTGTGTGTCTTTAATTCCTCTAGCACTGCTGGGTTACGGTCTCTCCAACTGAGCTGGTCTTGGCATAATTAAAATTTATTTCTAAGGCACTATCAAGCAGAATTGACACTTCCAAAATAGTCAGTGACTTGGAGAAGAAACTTTGAAATTTTTCAAAATAAGAGAGAACACCAATAAAATAAAAAGAGAGTGATTATAAAAGATGAGGTCAAGGAACAGATATTCAATAAAGGGCTAGAGTTATAACTAAACAGGCAATCAAAATCATACAAATAGAATTTAACAAAATTCCATAATAATAAGATATAGATAATAAATCAAGATTACAAATGAGAACATTTCTAAACTCTCTACATGTGTATGATGTATAATGAGTTATATATAATTGTAGTTATATGACTATGTAATGATAACACATCATTTTATATACACATACACAACACACTCAGTAACAGGCAAAATTCAAATCAAAAGTAAAGAAAACAAATATACAAAAAATCATCTTATTCTTAAATGTAAGTTGACTGAAAACCTTCCTGATAACATAAACAATTAACACATATTTCATATATTATATATTGTATTCTTACAAGAAAGTAAGCTTGACTAAAGAAAATGTTATTAAGAAAGTCATAAAAGGAGAAAATACATTTATTATTCATTAGGTGGAAGTGGATCATGATGAAGGTGTTCATTCTCCTCCTGTGCATATTGAGTAGGCTGAAGAAAAAAAGAAATAAAAGGGGTGGCAGAGGCAGAAGAAAATCTGAATATAAGTAGACCCACACAGTTCAAACCTGTATTGCTCAAGGGTCAACTGTATATGTCAGATATTACATGAGACATACTTAAATTTAAAAAAAGTTTTTTATCTGAAATTCAATTGTAAGTCGACATTCTGTATTTATTTACTAAATCTCACAACCATGCCCTGTCCCATTTGCGATTCCGTCTGTACTAAGTTTATTATAGTTTCTATTAGCTTTTATCATGGAATATGGGAGTACTGAGGTTCTCCAGTGGTTCTCTTGCAATGTAGACATTCTGCTTTTTGCACCCATTGTCAGTTGGCAACCCAGTCTCCCCTCAATAAACAGGATAAATGTGCCGCAGACTAGACAGTAGGAGTCACACCCTCTTCCTTGCCTGTTTGAGTCACTGACATGAGTGTTTTATTTTTTCCCATAGGCAGTCACAACTTCCGGTTTAATTGAACCATTTTTGTTTTCCCTAGTGTAAGCATTTTTCCTTTGGGAACAAAGGACATTAGATGAGCAAAACTCAAAATTCTGGGGACTGGAAACAAAAATTCACTACTGGATCACAACAGGTAATAGAAACTAATCATATTTTCATCCTTAATATCTATAGTCATAAACCTGGCTTTGGGAGAACCAGCACTGCACATTGGTCACCAATATAGAGGACATCCTGAATGTCATCACTGAACTTGGAAATTTGTTGCCCAACTGAAATTGTAACTATATTATTAAAAGATCTTTCCATCTTTCTATTATGCCAGCTGCTCAAGAGTGATTGGCAACATGGTAGATTTCATGAGCATGGGTCATTGGCACACTAAATTAGCCATAAAATAACTTCCTTGGTTGAAAGCAGTGCTGTATGAAATAACATGGTGAAGAGTAAGGCATTCAATAAAATCATATATTGTGTTTTTGTGCATAAGCGTTGCAGGCAGAAAAGGCAATTTAATGTCCACAAAAACTGTCTATTCCATTAAGAAAAGGTGCTACCCTTTCCAGTATGGAAGAGGTCCAAGAAAATGAACCAGGTAGCTGGCTGATTCCCCAAGGGAAAGATGTCATATTATATGCTCAGTATGATTTTTGCTGTTGGCTGTTGTGGCACTAAGCAGCAGCTGTAGTTTTATCCACCTTTGTGGGCAATAATACATGTTGCTTAGCTCAAGCAGAACCTCCATCCCTTCTGCGGTGGCCACTTTGTTCATGAATTCATTGATTAGGGACAGAGGTGTCTAGAAAAATACCTTGACTGACATCTACCAAACTGTCACTTTATCTGCATGATCATTAAGATTCTCATCTGCTGAGGTCACTCTTTAGTGAACATTCATATGGGGGACAAATACTTTCATATTCTGGGCCCATTTGAAGAGGTCTATTTGCATACCTATTCCCTATACTAACTTGTCTCCAATTATCTAATTATTGAACTTTGTTCCTTCCAAGTCCCTGGTCATCTTGCCAAACCATTAGCTAGAGCTATGAATCAGTTAGGTCTAAATCTCTGGCTCTGTTTGTGTCCAGGAAAGATGAGCGTTCAAGTACACTATTTGAAGTTATTTCCACTGACAAGATTTTTCTTCATCACTCTCCTTCATGTCACTACAGTCACTTCAGAGTTGAACTGTCATTCTACAGTCATTTACTCAGGTGGTGAAACAATATCTAGCAGAACCATTTGTAAACAAAATCTGAATAATTTCTTCCACAAACTACTGGTTATAGGGAATTCCCCAGGAAACCATATATATTTGTGGAAAGAGAAGGCAATGTACTAGAAATAGACGTCATGGACATCTGGGCAATCTACTCTTTAAACTTATTTGTATTTTCAAGACCTGATTGTTCATGCTCTCATATTCCATTTGAAAATAGAAACAATTGTGCATAACAAATTTATGGCTTTGGCATAAATTCATTCATAGCAACTTGGTGTCTCAGGGGCTCATGGTAAAATATTCAGTTTCTGTTGAACTTCAATAGAAAGCCAAAAGCTGTTTCTCAAAGGAGAATAATCGTATATAGAGACTGGTATAGGTATGAACTAAAATGTAAAGGTCTGTGCTTTAATTCACTTCTGAGAAGCTGCTATGCACATTTCCGTCTCCTACCAACATTTAGAACACCATGAGATCTTGTGATTGAGAAAATCACAGCAGAACAGCTTTTATGGCATTTTGGACTTGTTGAAAATCCCTTATTTGTTTTGGGCTCCACTAAAAACTGTTGGGTTACTTAGTGATTGGGTATGAGTAGCACATTCACATGAGATTTATGTTTCCTCTAAATTCTACAAAAGAGCAATAGTCATTATATTTTTTTCTCAGTGGTAAGAGGGGCCAGATGGAGCAACTTGATCTTTACCTTAGAGTATACTGACACATCTCAGATCACTGAATTCCTAGAAATGTCGCTGAGGTGGCAGACACTTGAATTTTCATGAGAATTATTTTCTACTAATTGGCTCACATATGCCCTAGCAGGGTATATAAGTAGTTGTTGCTTCATTCTTCCCAGTTCCAGCTCCATGAAATTATCAGTGGACCAGGGTAATATTCTGTGGAAGGGAAAGGTGATCAATTCTTTGCAGACTAGGTTTGGCATGGAGGTGGCAAATTTAGATAGCCTTTAAGTAAGACTGCAAAGGTATATTGCTGGCTATTCCAGCTGAATGCAAACTATTTCATATTGTCTTAATACAGAAAATAATGCTTTGGTCAGATCAATAATCATATGTCAGATATCTTTGTGCACACACCTACACATGCACACACATCCAGAACATCCAGAACACACATCCAGAACAACAAGTGCAATGAAATCACATTTTCAAGTATATGTAAATACACTGCCTTTCTCCAAATACTTCTGTCTTCTACAGAGGCCAAATAACCAAGTTAAATAGCTACATGGCGATAATCAACACTCCTGCATTTGTCAAGCCCTGGATGGTGGCACGGATCTCTGATATCTCTCCAGATAGGTGACATTGCTTTGGTATATTATTTTAATAGATAGCAGCTTCTACTCAGTCTTTCCTACCACCACAGCCCTTAGTCCATTGATCATGCAACAAATATAGGAATTTTGTCATTTAGCCAAATACGTTTATTTTAACTATGCATTCTAGAATTGGGGAAATAATCACATTAGCCATGGGCAGTGATAACCAGAAAGTACAGACAATATGTATGTTTTCCTTCCTTCAGTTTCTTCATTCTCTAAGCTATTTTTGTTTAAATTATGAAAATAAATAATTTTGCATCTAATTTCATTGACAATTATACAGTGGTCCACCCTTATCTGTGGGAAATATGTTCCAAGACCTCCAAGTGGATACCTGAAACTGATATAGTACCAAATGCTATATACACGATATCAATCGATCTGTTAACTGAGATGGCTACTAAGTGACTAACAGGAAGGTAGTGTATATGGAGTCGATATACTAGACGAAGAGATGATTTGTAGCCTGGGTGAGACAACATGGGTTACTCAATTTAAAGCTTACAGATTTTTTATTTCTGAAATTTTTCATATAATATTTTTGGACCCAAGTTGACTGTGGGTAACTGAAATGATAGAAACTAAATGATGGATAAAGGGAAACTACTATAACACCATCAATGAGTGTGTTAAGTATGCAAACCAAAGCATATTAAATTTAACATAATTTATATATAAAGCTACTGACTTAAAATTTTTATCTACATATTGATACAACTCTAAAAATGACATGCCAGGACATATACACAACCAGGCTTAAATGTCCTGCTATCATATGCCTTCAATTTATAGTGATACTAATTTTAATCAATATTTGAGGATCATTCATTGTTAAACTTTTAAAAAATTTTGAATTAAAGTTTGAAGCAGTCCATGAATACAGACGTTTTGTCCTAAGACACTATTGTTAGTTAATTTAAAGTCCCTTCCTTCATCATTGCTAAGTGCTGTAGTCTGTCATCCATTCTCCAAATGAAATGTGACTTTGATGGATAAACTCAATTAAAGCTCAGGCATTAGATAAGTTCAACAGAGAATTGGGCTGATCTTTACCAATCTACCTTTAAACATACAATAAGTATTTCAAAATGAAGTAGTCATAAATTATACTGAAAATATATGCTAGTAAAATTAGGTTGAAATTGGAATCAATCACTCTATGTAAATTTCTATTACTTAGAAAGCAACATTTATTTCCCTTCCCCTTGAGTATTGTATCTTACATATGCTTTTAAGACGTAAAGTAAGAGAAATGCCTGTTGTCTTTTACCTTTTTAGAAATTTCTCTCTCTTTTATAATGTCTAAGTTTGTTAAAATATCTAGTTTCAAGACTAACAGTAAGAGTTTATCCATAACCTGAGAACCCTCACAAGAAATTATGTTTAGTTATCTTTAATATTTTTAAAAACAACTTTGTGTGTGCCTTGCCTATAAAGACCTTTAATCTTATCATTGATATTTGACTCATTCATTTAGTTATTTAATCATTAAACTAAAATTTGTATCTTATCTATGATAGATACAAGAAAATGATTTGAGTTATACAGATAAAGTATGTAGGAAGAGACATGTAAAGGAATAATTTGGTTTCTTATGATAAATCATTTTCTAGACATATATACAGAATATGAAAATAACACAGAGACAAAGGCATCTAACACCATCAGAAGAATCAAAGAAATCATTAAATTACAGCATTTATAATAAAAAGAACTTTTCAGTGTTAATATTCAATTCCATCATTTTGCAGTAGAAATAACAAAGAGAATTTGATTATTTTTCCTGCATGAATATAGCCAAGGAGACTATTCTTTTTAACAATTAAGATTTTGCATTTAAGAAGGTGATAAACTTGAATTCATATCCCTGAACTAAAATCCATGTGAGCCTGGGATCCAGTTTCTTCAACTTCCAAATGGAAATAATAATAATAAATTATCTCATGGTGCTTTATTATGGGATTACATGAAATAAAACACTTAACAGTGCCCATTACACTAGCTTACATGGTTGTTGTCGGTATTAAATGACTTAATACTTGTAAGGTACTGATAATATTATCTGGTCTCAAAAGGCTCCCTATATATGGAAGCTTTTCCTACTATTTTTCATATTATTAGTGTTGAGATAATTTATAATATTATATATATTTCTGTTAATTGAAATTTATGTAGAAAAATTCATTGCCTTAGAGAAGAATATTAGGACAGAAAAAAATTTAAAGTTCTTTTTGAATGTAAAATATCTGGATTTTTCAGGGTTCCTTGGAGAAATGGCTGAGTCTAGTGTTGGGGTGAGACATATACAAGATGAGCCTGGAGCGTTTTGTAGTGCCAGAAAGTGAGAAAGTGCTCAAAAGCCAAAACTGAAACCAAAACAAACCAAAACAGAAACTAAAAAGCCCACAATGATGACTATATGTCAAAGGGAAAGAAGAACCAACCAAAAGTATTTTCAATGGCCAAAGCCAGAAAAACGTGAACAACAAAATAAACGACACAGTATTACATTATAACTCAAACTATTAGAAACAAGTGATGGAATAAATAATGGGAACAGATTAATAAATCTCCTGGGCCAAAGGAAATTTTTGTAGCTATTCTGATGTCAAGAAAGGTGAGCATAACTCCCCATTCCTTAAATGAGGACTATGCATAGTGACTTTTTACCAAAGATTACATCATGGAAAGAAAGAAAAAAGGGTAATTTTACAGTGGAGCCAACTAATAAACACTACCTCAATTGATGCAAGACTAACATCAACAGTTATTAAGTCCTGGTAATAGTTTGTGCCTTTGATATGTTATGATAAGAATGGCATATTACCTTTGTGATTTTCCTCCCCAAAAGATACAATCATAGTCTAATCATGAGAATAATATCAGACAAATCCCATCTGAGGAACATTCTGCAAAATACTGAACAAGTGCTTCTTAAAATTGAAAAGACCACCAAAAAGGGAAAAACTGAAATTGTCATAGTCAAGGGGAGCCTGAAGAAGTATGATGATTAAATGCAGTATAGTTTCCTGAGTGGGATCCTGAAACAGAAACAAATACACTTGGTGAAAACTAAGGAAATCTGAATAAATTATAGAGTTTAGTTGTATTATCTATTAAAGGTTTTATATAATATTAAATATATTATGCATTAAATATATTAATATTTGTCTATTAGTTATAACAAAAGTGACAAATTTTAACAAGAGAAAGTTTGTGTGAAATATGTGAGAACTCTGTACTATGTTTGCAAATTTTGTGAATCTAAAACTATTCTAAGATTTAAAAGTTTATTAAAAATCTAAGTTTTTGACATTTGAGGCCTAATCCTAGAGATAACTCAAAGTATAAACAATAAGTTTGGAAGATCCTTGTTCTGTCATGTATAGGTTACCTACTTTTAAATTAGGTACATTTTTTCAAACTAGATGAGAAGAAAAGTTGTAGAGGAGAGAGGAGATACTAGCAAAATTTCTGGATGGATTACTTTGCTAAACCAGAGCCTGTGTCAACCATCGTCTTTGTCTAACCCATACAAGTAATTTTGTAATCAAATAGTACTGGGAAATAATACAATATTGCTGATAAATTGTAAGTTGAATGTATGACAACAGCTTCAATTGATTTTTTTTAATGTTACATGAAAGGTATTCTTCCAGCCA
Source organism: Homo sapiens (assembly GCF_000001405.40). NCBI lineage: Eukaryota > Metazoa > Chordata > Mammalia > Primates > Hominidae > Homo > Homo sapiens. Next base: position 130,234,849 of record NC_000004.12, read on the forward strand.
TTAACTTTTCCTCTCCATGTGATTTTTCACGTCTTCCCCTCTCCTTATTCTGAGCTGATAAACTTGCTCCTTATTTTACTGAAAAATTCAAAGTAATCAGAAAAAATCTTCAACAAGTTTCACAATCTACTCATCTAACTACATAAGTTTTCATATAATTTGTCTTTTTTCTCTTGCTATTATGAAACAGCCCTCCTTCAATTTTTGTCCCTTTTTTCTAACATAGGGACATGGCTCAAGCCAACTCATGTCTCCCCTTTCTTTCCTCTTTTTCTGCACCACTGATTTTTCTTTTTTGGTTGATAGAGTAACTTCATAAATATACAAATATGTTCTTGGGGGAAAAAAATGAACTCTCTTGATTCCACTTTCCTGTCCAGATATTGCACTATGTTTTTCCTTTGCCTTTATTGAAAGAATTGCTATACCCCCATCTTCATTATCTGTCCTCCTGTTCTCACATCAACCTGCATCAAGTGAGCTATCATGTTTACAATTCTAGAAAAGCCACTTTTAACAATGGAAATATCTTACTGTTTATCTTAATTAATTGAACAGCAGCACTAAAGTTGATTATTCCCCTTCTCCTTCAAATATTATATTCATTTGGCTCTTAGAATACCACAGTCTGTTTTGTTTTCACTTAATTCTATGGCCACTCCTTCTCAGTTTATTGCCTTCATTCCCTCTCATATCCCAGACCTCTTAACTTTCTATAGTCTCAGAGTCTAGCCAGTGTGTCTCCATAATTTCATTTGACAAGAAATCCCCTCATATTGTCTTCAATTTTCATGGAAAACCCTTAAGTTATTTATAACCAATAACTCCCAAACATATATATCTCTCTAGACCTCTTCTCTGGTATCTGGTCTCATATATACAGTGGTCTGACTCAACAACCTTAATGGGAGTATTAATAGGAATCTTAATATGTCCTAAACGAAGCTCTGGCTTTTCTACAAAATGAACAAACAAACAAAATTTACTCTCTTAAGCTTTACCAAGTTTTGTTATTGGTCACTCTATTTTTATAGGTATTAAGCCTTGGTTCTGAGAATTTCATTTGACTCTACTCTTTCTTTTATATACCACATCAAATTCTTTCTGCGTGATTAAAAAAAAATACTTGGACTTTGAAAATTTTTTACCACCTTACCTCTACTACCCTGGTACAAGGCACAATTGTTTTTCATTAAAATTTTTGCAGTATCCTCCTATTTTTTTCTCTGTTTTTGTCATTACCCATCTTTGATCTACATTAATGCATCATCATCCTTGATGATATACTAATATAATCTTAATTATATTATAATTCTGCCAAAAATAATCTAATGGCTTCCATTTTAGTTTCATTGCATGCAGTAATTTTCCCCTAGATATTGGTGTGGTCTTGTTCGCGCACCTCTTCAGGGATTTCCTTTTCCTTGGATGTTGACTTTTCATGGGCACTTTCCTGTACACCATCTTTAAAATGACAACTTCTTCATACACATATCCTTTCTCTATGCCAGTGTTTTTCCCCTCAACACTCGTCAATATTTATTACTGTATATAACTCATTTATTTATATAATTTATTTTTCTGTGTTCCTCCCATAAAAGCTAGAATGTAAAATTTAGGAAGTTAGGGATTTAATTTGTTTTGGTTCCTTTGATATACTTTTCCTATAAATAGCACCTGTTGATATTAGTCACATGAAAAGTAGTTACTGAATGTTAAATGACAAGTATCTTTTTTTCTTCCTTTTACTTGTGGAAGATCCATCTTAGATTAGGCTGATTTTCTTACTCATTCCACTATTCACATAAGGTTAACCCTTGGCATCAATTTCTCAACGTTCAGACTCCTTTTCTCGGCAGATCTGAAATTAGTCTGCTTACAATACAGATTTTCAGAAATTTTGGTTGGCCAGATCTTCTAGGAATTTAACAGAGTTGAAAATTCTTGTAGGCTTATCAAACTACAATTTAAATATATTTTTAAAAAGCTTTTCTTTGTTGAATAGTCTAAGCAGGAGTATTATAAGTTGCAAACTGATTAAATACTGCTGGATATCTGAAGGCAAATGTTTTTTATGGAAAATGTAATAGAGGTACTAAAGTCTTTTATACAAGGGAGGGTTATCAGAATATGCTTAAAGTCACCTAAAGTTTCTCAACTGAATGAATAAATTATTTTATTTTTTTTCTAGAGCAAAACCAACTCTTGACCACAAACTAATGAGGCTTTTGAGTTTGAAGTCAGAGTTCACATCTTTTGTAATAATTTTTCACATAGACTACTTATTACATGATAAAATAAAAATACTACTTATTGAATGATTATGAAATGGCTACAAATGTTAACTCTTCAGATTTACTATATCAGCATTAGTGAGTCATATGTATTTGTATAATAATTATTTACCTATTAAATAATACTATGTTTCCATTCATTTAATTGAAAAGTAAGTAATTTTAAAAGCAGGAACAATTGAAAGGTAAAATGGGTGGAGTTCAGTTACGTAAGAGCTGTCAGAGAACAGTCTACTATTGGAAGCAACAGAAACCACAGTTGATTACACAGTAATTCCTCCTTTAAAGAGAACTATTACTAATCTTAGCTATTATGCTATAGGAATATTAGAGACTATTCACTTCGTCAAATCATCTCATTTTTGAGATGGCAAAGCTATTGAAAAATAATGTGCTGCTTGGATATCAGTTTATATTATTGAGTACTGTCATGTATTTTGGTTTCACATGCTTATGCTTTTCTAAATTTATATTTGACCTTTTTCCTTGTTCAGTTATCCATGTTTTTGTAAAAATAATTGGGAAAACATATTTTAAAGAATGTCTTTTCTTTTTATTTTGACAGGTTCTTCATGATATTCACATTAGAAAAGATATCTGCGACTGGTATATTTGGAAAATGTTATACATGATAACAATGAAGAAAGAAATACAGCAGACTAGATATTTAGTGATCATGTAATCAAATGTAAACTGCTACTTTGTTTCTTTCTAAAGCTTTCTTTAGGTTCTAATTTCAAATTACATTTTAAAAAGTGTTGAACTAATGACACTATTTTTATCATTTTGGATCTCTTAAATATATAATTTTCATTATAAGTGCCTGCTATTTCTTAAAATATATGGTACAGTGTAAGCACTTTGAGTACATGGACTTTAATTTCTTTTGTCATTCTATATCTAAAATTTAGACAGATACCTGACAAGTATTTGAAATTAATGTACTGTTATTGAATGAATGCATGGATAAAGGAAGATTAATTTATAGACACAGTTAACAGTTTTGCCAATACATTGACTTATATTAGAATAATAAATTTTATACAATAGTTTCATTTAACTGCCTTCATCTGTTTAAGGACATGTGTATTTAATGCATGAATATTCCGTTTTGTAAGGCGTTTATGTAGATAGAAATGCAAACTTTTATACATTGGCAAAGTGCCAATATCAATATCAACAAGTATTTATCAGGCATCTACAATGTGTTCCTTACTGAGTCAGCTCTTTGTGATGCCTGCCAGACAATCCTAGGGGAGAAGAAATAAAAACTCAGTGTCTTGGTAAGTAGCTATGTGCTACCTAAACAAAAACGTTTCTCTACTCTTTGTAAACCTGCTTTTTCTTCATTCAACATTTATTGTCTACCATGTGTACCACTGATACTGATTTTTTAGTAATATTTTATTTTATCTATTCTAATTTATAGCCTTTTACCACAGAAACAGGTCAAGCATAATAAATGCATGAAAACCCAGAATTGCTATCTAAATCAATTTTTCCATTTATTTATTTATGTATTGGATTTTGTTTATTGGAATAATAATTAGTAAGCTACTAATTATATGAATTATACTAAGCTACTCATTATATGACTACTACTACATATCAGGTATTGTTTCAGGCACCAGAAATACATCAATAAAGTAAAGAGATAGGGACCTTGCTGTGGATATATATTTTTTATTCTAACTGAGGATATAGATATTAAACAATAACCACAGCAAATAGAAAAATTATAAAAAATCACAGAAGAAGATAAATGCTTTAGAGAAAAGAAAAATTCAGAACTTCTGCCTTTTTTAAAAGCAGGCTAAATACTGCTGAAGGAGCCCTTCCACAGCTAGAGAACAGCGAGCACATTTGGATAACATATTTGTTTAAAAACAGGCTGGAAAGCATAGGAGAATTAAAAAGAGCAGTGAAAAATTATGGGGCTAAAATTCAAGGAAGAAAGTCTAGAAAAGGGACCCACTACTTAGGTCATTCTTTTTCCCAAGAGACTCTAAAGGGTAGACAAGAAGTTGAAAACCTAAGCCAATTTTTTGGCAGCAAGGGGATGGAAATAGGAATCCAGGGCCTTTCAAAGAGAAGCTGTCTTAAGGCTGCAAAGTGTTATCTCTAAGAGTAACAACAAGAGGTGAAGCCTAACTTCAGATACCTATACTTGTTAAAGGTGATGCTGGATTGCTAATGTGTCTGGATCACTGGAAATTACAAGAAATTTTCTCTGTGAAAAAACATAAACCCATCAAAAATCTCAAATTTCTTCTACAATATTTAATATATAATTTCTTTGCCTTGGTGAAAAATAATCAGGCATACCAGGTTACAAGTCAACATGATAGAAAAATTAAGTAAAATAAAAACTGATTCAAAGACAATATAGAACATAGACTTTAAAATGACTACTAATTATGTTTTTTTTAAATTAAATATTTGGCAGAGTCTTAAAATTCTGAAATTCTTCAACTGTAGTACCCTACAACTAATATTAATAACTGAAGGAATAGGTTTAATAGCATAATATTACAGCTAATGAGAGAATTAGTGAATTGAAGCATAAATCAGAAAATAGTTCAAAATAAAGCATAAAAATTTAATAAAAAACATGAAAGAAATACAAAGGATAGACTGAAAAGTTCTAACTGAAGTTTGATTCCCAGAAAAAGTGCATAAAAGAACGATACAGAAACAAGACGAAAGCCATAATCACTGAGATTTTTTCAGAAATTATAAAATAAATCAAAGATCAGATTTACTCTTCACCAAGGAGGAACAATGCAAAGAAATGAACAGCTAGACACAACACATCAAAACTGCTGAAATATAAAGAAAAATAGAATATCCTAAGGAAATTAGAAAAAAAGAGAAATGTTACTATTGAAGAACAATTTAGATAGCTGACTTCTCAAAACAAAAGGGAAAAGTTATAAGCCAAAACAATGAGACAGTATCTTCAGTAAACGGAACTAACATTGGCTAAACAAGCTTTCTATAATTAATGAAAGATTCTGTAAGAATAAAGGCAAATAAAGGTAATCACAAAACAGGAAATTATTTATTAGTAGACACACTAAGGAAAGGCGTAGATTTTCTTAAGGATAAAGGAAAAAGCCAGATGAAAGCTCAGACACAAAGAAAAAAAATCAATACTAACGATTTAAGTCTGAATGAATATTAATAAAAACTAATGAACAATTTTATTAGACATACGTATTATTAAAGTAGAAGGAAATAGCCTATGATTACAATTATATAGGACATGGTGAAGTTAAATCATTCTGATTACTAACACTCTCCAGGAAGTGATAAAATAGAAATTTACCATAGACTTTGTTGAGTCAGGAATACATGCTGCCATACTTGGGGTAACCAATTAAATAGTGTATAGTTATTACACAGAAAGAAATAGAAAATGAAGTTTTTAAAAAACACATATTTAAAAAATTATAAAAAGATAAAGGAATACAGATACAATGAGAAAAGAAGAAAGCAATAGGAAGATTATGGACTTAAAACCAAATATATCAGGATTTATGTTGAATAAACTTGGATTATATGCTAAAAATAAAACATAAGTGTGGATTGACTGAATAAAAATGTAGGTAAGAACTTGTTCCTTATAAAAACACATTTAAATACGAATATATAAAAGGTGACAAGTAAAAGGATGAAAAACATCGGCAAAAAATATTCACCAAATAAAGGCACATATAGCTATAATAGTATCAGATGAAATAGATCTTGATGCCAAAAATTTACTAGACAGAAAGAGGAGCACCTAAAAATGAGTTTATCACTAAGATAATCAGTCTAAGTTTTTATGTCTCAATGTACCTTCAACAACATTTCACTTTTAAGTATATTTGCCATAGATATTTTCTGAGATGGTCTTTTTCTGCTCTTACTTTACCAAGTTTTATTTTATTTTATTTTTCAGAATAGATGCTGAGGTGTTAAGCTATTTCAATTTGCAGAAGATTGACATTTTATAATTCTCTGACCATAATTAAGATAAAAATCAATAATAGAAAAGTGACAAAAATAAGACAAAATATTCTAAACAGGATAAATAACACGTGACTCAAGATAAAAATTATAATAGACATTAACAAATATATTGAGTTACCCAATAATTAAAATACTATATGCCAAGATTTATGGGAAATAGTTAAAGCTATGTCAGAAATTTGTAACTTACACTGCATAGGAAAAAAATGGGAAACTAACGAAGTTAAGCATCAATCTGATAAAGTTAGAAACAAAAGTACATTAAAGAAATTAGAAGAAAAAGACAGTAAAATAAGAACATAAATATGAAATTTCAAAACAAATATTTAGTGAAGATTAACAAAATGTGATTTGTAAGATTAATAAAATATATAAACACCTGACAAGATTGATAAAACATCAAAAGTTATGGAACAAATAATTAGCATTATAACTCAAAAAGGAAGCATCCTGGCAGGTAATAGACATTAAAGGTTACAGGAGGATTTTATAAACTACTTTATGCTGATAAATATAAGTTAGATAAAATGGTTAAATTAGTATTAAAATGTCATCAATATATAATCTAAATAGTCCTACATTTGCTAAACTAATTAAAATTTAACTCAATTCTTAATTAAAGAAACAAAAATTTATAAAATAACCTGTAAGTCCATTTGGCATAATGAATGATTTTTAGCGAACATTTAAGAAATAAATAATGCCAAAAATATACAAATTCTTACTGACACTAAAAAAAAAAGAGCAATATTATACTTCCCAAAATGTTTATGAGGCCAGCATAATTCTATCAAAAACAACTAAGATATTAAAATAATAAAAAATTAAAAGATAGTATTATTAATACATGCATGCATATGCTAATTTCATTAAGTGCTATCAATCAATGTGGCTAATCAGTTGACCATATTAACAGAATATAGGATATAAATATATAATCATTTGAATAGATCTCATCATCTCAATCTCCATTTATAATTACAACAAAAATAAACTGTAAAGAGTAGAAGGTTATTTCATAAAACATGTCCAGCAAATATAGAATAGTAGTAATGAAGGTGGCTAGAAAAGGTAAAATAAGGGATCTCTTTTTGTTGAATGTGTTTGTTTTTTTAAAGTATAACATACAAAAACATATAAAGGTCATAAATGTACCGTTTAATAATTTTTAACAAAGTAAACATTTCTATGGAACTAGAACCCATATAGAGAACTAGAACTCTGCCAGTCACCTTCCAATTGCTTGCCCTTGGAAGGTGAATCAGTATCTGAATTTTAACGATATACAATATATTTGTCTATTTTTAAACTTTATATAAATGATATGATGCAGTGTGTTTCTAATTTATGTTACTCAACATTATGTTTGAAAATATTATGTATGCTACTGCCTATAGTTGAAGTCTGTTCATTTTATTTTAATGGCTTTATATTATCCTTTTGTTTGTGAATAGAGTACTACACTTAACAGTCCTATTGCTAGTGGGCATTGGAGTTGCTTTCAATTTGGGGTTATTGTCAAGAATTCTGCTATGATTATAGATGTAAATCCTTTTGGGTGAATACATGTACACATTTTTATCATGTATATTCTAAGAGTAAATTTCTGGATCATAATGTATGCATGTTTCAAACTTCAGTAAATGTTGTCAAATGCTTTCTAAAAATTTGTACAAATTCATTTTACTAGTAGTACAAGAGCATTCTAATTTCTCCATCTCCTCAGCCACAGTTAGTACTGCCTGACTTTTTATATCTTAGTCATTCATCTGTGTGGGCATTAAAAAATATGGTGTTTTAATTAGTGTGTTTCCAAAGGCTATTATAGTTTTGCATTTTTTTCAATTTTATAGAACATTTGTATGTCCTCTTCAGAAAATTTGTCAGAGGTGTTTGAACCAGAGTGACTCCATCTTGAATAGGGCTGGGTAAAATAAGGCTGAGACCTACTGGGCTGCATTCCTAGGAGAATAAGGCATTTAGTCACAGGATGAGATAGGAGGTCAGCACAAGATACAGGTCACAAGTATCGGGGAACCTGTCCCGATAGTCACGTAGGTTCTTTTTTATTTTCCCTAAGTGTCTGCCGGTTTGAGAAATAAAGGGACAGAGTACAAAAGAGAGAAATTTTAAAGCTGGGTATCCGGGGGAGACATCACATGTCAGTAGGTTCTGTGATGCTCCACAAGCCGCAAAACCAGTAAGTTTTTATTAGGGATTTTCAAAAGGGAAGGGAGTGTACGAATAGGGTGTGGGTCACAAAGATCATGTACTTCACAAGGTAACAGAATATCACAAGGCAAATATTAACACTGTGTGTTGGGCACAATTCTATTCTAAAAATGTTATATCGTCTATAACTAGTAATTGATTTTATATTTATAATCACTATGAGGCAAATAATACTTCTAAAAATAAATGGTTTTCTGTCCTTGCAATAGTTTGCTCAGAATGATGGTTTCCAGCTTCATCCATGTTGCTATAAAGGACATGAACTCATCGTTTTTTATGACTGCATAGTATTCCATGGTGTATATGTGCCACAATTTCTTAACCCAGTCTATCATTGATGGAGACATTCGGGTTGGTTCGAAGTCTGCTACAGTGAATAGTGCCACAATAAACATACATGTGCATCTGTCTCTATAGTAGCATGATTTATAATCCTTTGGGTATATACCAATAATGGGATCGCTGGGTCAAATGGTATTTCTAGTTCTAGATACTTGAGGAATCGCCACACTGTCTTCCACAATGGTTGAACTAGTTTACACTCCCACCAACAGTGTAAAAGCGTTCCTATTTCTCCACATCCTCTCCAGCACCTGTTGTTCCCTGACTTTTTAATGATTGCCATTCTAACTGGTGTGAGATGGTATCTCATTGTGGTTTTGATTTGCATTTCTCTGATGGCCAGTGATGATGAGCATTTTTTCGTGTGCCTGTTGCTGCATAAATGTCTTCTTTATTTTGTATCCTTTGTCCACTTTTTGATGGGGTTGTTTGATTTTTTTTCTTGTAAATTTGTTTAAGTTCTTTGTAGATTCTGGATATTAGCCCTTTGTCAGATGGGTAGATTGCAAAAATTTTCTCTCATTCTGTAGGTTGCCTGTTCACTCTGATGGTAGTTTATTTTGCTGTGCAGAAGCTCTTTAATTTAATTAGATCCTATTTGTCTATTTTGGCTTTTGTTGCCATTGCTTTTGGTGTTTTAGTCATGAAGTCCTTGCCCATGCCTATGTCCTGAATGGTATTGCCTAGGTTTTCTTTTAGGGTTTTTACTCTTTTAGGTCTAACATTTAAGTCTTTACTCCATCTTGAATTAATTTTTGTATAAGGTGTAAGGAAGGGATCCAGTTTCAGTTTTCTATATATGGCTAGCCAGTTTTCCCAGCACCATTTATTAAATAGGGAATCCTTTCCCCATTTCTTGTTTTTGTCAGGTTTGTCAAAGATCAGATGGTTGCAGATGTGTGGTATTATTTCTGAGGCCTCTGTTCTGTTCCCTTGGTCTATATCTCTGTTTTGGTACCAGTACCGTGCTGTTTTGCTTACTGTAGCCTTGTAGTATAGTTTGAAGTCTAGTAGCATGATGCTTCCAGCTTTATTCTTTTTGCTTACGATTGTCTTGGCAATGCGGGCCCTTTTTTGGTTCCATATGTACTTTAAAGTAGTTTTTTCCCATTCTGTGAAGAAAGTCATTGGTAGTTTGATGGGGATGGCATTGAATCTATAAATTACCTTGAGCAGTATGGCCATTTTCAAGATATTGATTCTTCCTATACATGAGCATGGAATGTTCTTCCATTTGTTTTTGTCCTCTTTTATTTCGTTGAGCAGTGGTTTGTAGTTCTCCTTGAAGAGTTCCTTCACATCCCTTTTAAGTTGGATTCCTAGTTATTTTATTATCTTTGTAGCAATTGTGATTGTGAGTTCACTCATGATTTGGCTCTCTGTCTGTTATTGGTGTATAAGAATGCTTGTGATTTTTGCATATTGATTTTGTATCCTGAGACTTTGCTGAAGTTGCTTATCAGATTAAGGAGATGGGGATTTCTAAATATACAATAATGTCATCTGCAAACAGGAACAGTTTGACTTCCTGTTTTCCTAATTGAATACCCTTTATTTCTTTCTCTTGCCTGATTGCCTTGGCCAGAACTTCCAACACTGTGTTGAATAGGCAGAAGTTTTATCTCTCAAGTTTTTTAATACATCATTTTACCCTCTCTCAGCCTACAAGGTTTCTGCTGAGAAATCCACTGATATTCTTATGAGGGGTCTATAATATATGTTGAGTTGCTTTTCTCTTGCAACTTTCAAAATTCTCTCATCTTTGATTTTTGACAATTTAATCATAATTTGTCTAGTTTTAGATCTTTTAAAATTCAATTTGGTAAACTTTGGGGCTCATGGATCTGCATGTCGATTTCTGTAGTTGGGTGAGGCTGCTGCCCAGGACTTGAGATTAAATTGATCTACTATCTGAGCTCTGTGTTCAGGTGAGGAAACTGGCTGAGCTTCCAAGTTGAGTGGGGCCACAGGCTGTGTCTCAGTTGGAAGGGGTTGCAAGCCATGACCTGCAATCAAGCAGAGCTGCCACCTGTGCTCTGCATTTGGGCAGAGTAGCTGGCTTAGCTTTCTGCTTGGGTGGGTCTGCAAGGCTGTATCAAGATGCTGACTGGGGTTTTTGTTCAGGCTCTCTGCCCAATTGACCAAAGTCTGTATACTGATGGGTATGACCTCTGTCTCCCTTTTTTGTTTCTAGCTATCTCCCATTAGTCTGGCTCTGCCAATTCCCCGAGTATTTTCTGTGAGGAGAATTCCTACTTTCAGGAAGTACCAATGAACTCTGGAGAAGGTAGAAATCCATCTTGAGGTCTCTTCTCCATTGGAGAGACTGTAGGTTGGGGATAATCCTCTTGGTTGGTGTTGTGCAAGCTCAGGGTGGAGGGGGGATGCTGTGAAAAGGAAACCATTTCTTTTGCCTTTATAAGGTGGCTTTTCTCAGTTTATATATTCCAATGGGGTGCTGCAGACTCACCTCAGATTCTAGAACCTTCCAAGAGGTTTTCTTATCTGTAGATAGTTGGTACTTGGTCTTTCTGTGAGAACAAAAGCTAGTTATCTCCTGTTCTTCCATCTTGCTGATATCCCTCCTGAGTTCTATGTGTTGACTGAGGTTTTCAGGGATGTGAATCATGATAGGATTAGTCCTTACAGTCTTTCAAGAAGAGAGAACATGTGGATTAAACTGTAATTTTATTTTTGGGTTTGATCGCTTTCTTTTAATATAAGCTAGACATCATTGGAAGAATCAGTTTTCTCAGAGGCTTAGAAAATCTATTAGCTCCCTCATCAACTTTAAAATGGTGAAGTTGAGGAAATGGTAGGACCTGTCTTAGCAAGATAGAGAATTATTTCTGTAAAGTTCTTTTCAGTATTGCTGTGGATGATGATATAAAGGCCCTAACCTAACCAGGCCCTGTCAGCAAAGTTAGTTACATTATTCTTTTTATATATTTCATTTGTTACGTAATTTAACTTTAGGTCATATATTTGAATCTCTCATTCTTAATCAATGACCAACACCATGACTGATTTCTTTCAGTTCTACTGTTATTAATATTTCACCCAATTTTTAAATTATAGCTTCTATACAATACATCTTTTTAATATTTGGCTAATATTGATTATCCTGTGTTAAAAATGTATAAATAGTATTTAAGTCGTGACTGTGTTCAACATTATGAATGAACTTCTAGCAAAAGAAATGCCATGTGTTACCATATCTGTGCTACGTCAGTGCTACTTGAAAGTATGTTTTAAGTATTTGAAACAAGTTAAGCCTCTTTATTTTTGTCTTATAAATTGATTAGAATAAAACTACTCGTGATTATTTTGTTAGTAAACAATGATTTCACTAAAATATTATTGATTCCTTGTAATATCTAATAATCATCTTTCTTCCTATTGACAAAAATGGAACAGACCCCTATATCATTAGTATTTAATTTAATTCTATACTTGGCTGTACTATACTAGAAATAAATTATAAGTTATTTTTAAAGTTTTTCTCATAAAGTCATCTGACTACCTCTTCTAATTACTTCTGATTTTTGGAAATGTATAGCACGCTATCAAATTGAAATTTCTTTAGTTATACTTTTTGGGTGTTTCAAAAATAGAATCTCTTCTTTTTGTTTTATTGTACTCCACTTTCATTTTAATGAGAGCATTTCGAGGATATCAATCTTTATTTACTTATTTTTAAAGGTACAGAAAATATTTTAGATAGTTTGTTTCTCTTATTGTTTATTTTGAATTCACATTAGGTTACTATTTTGGATTGCTATAGATTTTTTAATCTATAATCCTCTTTTGTCAGACCTCTAAATGCATTTTATTGCCTTCTTGAATCATGCCAATTGGAAGTGTGCTATCAATGTTATTTTATTTTTAAATAAGTAGTCTGTTTTTGTCTTCTTCCAAAAAATTTATTAACTTCTAAATGTTCACTAGAATGTATCAAGGTGCTGGCTGTTTTCCATTTATTGTGGATGCTACTGTGTAAAGAGCCTTTCAATTTAAAGATTCTGGTCTTCGTTTGGCTCAGAAAAATGTTTTATTTCATTTTATTCTCTCTTACTGCACCCATCCCCATTTTTCTCAGTTTATATTGAAATAGGTTATAATCAAATGCTAAGCTTTTTGTATTTTCCAGCTGTTATCTTGATGCTCCAGTATTTTGACTGTTTTGTTACAGTCTATTTCATTTCTCCCTACCTGCTTTCAAGTTGTGCCTTCCTGGAACTCAGAAAATTGGCACCTAACTTCTTGACAGTTTTTTTCCTGTTGTTGTTATATTTGTCTACTTTATCTGTTAATATAATCTTATTTACTTTTAGATTTCCAGAAATCCATGGATATTTCTGGCCCATTAATAGATAGCTATTTCATTATTAGTGGGGTAAAGAATTTTTTTTCTTTCTTTGTGTCTTTTTGTTCTTTCTTTCTGTTTTTTTGCAAGGCAGAATGGAATAATAGAGCCCTAATTCATATACTGTATTTCATTTAAATAATCGTACCTATGTGAAGGTATATGGTACCATGAAGAACAGATAAATTACCATACAATATGTCTATGTACTAAAGAATAAAATTACTTGAATGAATGAAAAAATATTTATGTGAGAGTATCATATCAGAAATTTTCATTTTTCATAAAAATGTAGTATAATTGAGAAATTAATTTAGAAATTCTACTTCAATATATGTAACATAGGGACAATGACGAAATGTTATTTATTGTTGATTTCTATATATTCATTGTGCCTTATAAACCTAAATTGACAGTGGTTATGAAATAAAAGAATACTTTGGTGGTTAGATACCTTCAAATGTAGACTGATGAAGTAGCAGTCTGTTTATATTAAGCCTCAGGGATAGCCCTGGAGGAAGTATTTTTGTTTTTATGTAGGTTCAAGGATATAAGTGAGTAAAGTTACTCATTATTCACAATACCCTGGGGACATATATTTGATGTATGCATTTGAGTGAGGTTTTGTGTGTGTGTGTATGTATATGTGTGTACGTGTATGAGCTTAAACAGTTAGAATTCCTTTGGACTTATGAAAACAAACTTCCACAATTAAATAGTAAAATAACATCTCCTCCTACTTTTTTATCCAAGCAACATACAATATTTGATCTAAAGAATTTTCATATTTTTTATTAATATAAATTACTTTTTTGAGGATTGTACCTACTAACCCAGTCATTTTGGTTTTATATATGTGAGAAACTGGTGTGAATAAAAGAAAACAAATACTCATGTTTTCAGATACATTTTCTCATGTATCCTTAGTCAATAAATTTCCAGAATTAATAGTGAAATTTAATCTACTCTTTGGAAAACTCTAAATTTATCCAAGTTTACATCTCCTACACTGCATTATAACCTGGCAAAACAGAATAATCACCTCCTTTCTTACTGTAAAGTTAAGCAAACAGAGAGAGAAAAGGGCAGGTCAGGGAGCCTGAAGCCCACGTGGCAGTCTTCTTTCCTGCAAGTAATGACTGCACAGCATGACCTTGCCTCCCTCCACAGACTAAGGAAGCATAAACCCATCTCAAGCTAAAATACAAAACAGAAAATATTAAAATGAATATAGTATAATTTCTGTAAAAGATAAATAATCAAGAATAATTCTTCATAGGCTTATATAACTTTAATACAATTACAATTCTTATTAAGTAACGGGAAATGAAAAAATAAAAGGAATAAGCAATAAAAGAAAAAGATGTCTAGAATAATAGCAAAACTCCAAAGACTTTCTTTTTAATTTAATTTTTTTCATTATATCAGCTGTGATGATAAAACTAAACTTCCTTATAAAGCAATCTTCAGTTCAATATTGTAAATTGTTTAAGCAATTCAAAATATTTTAAAAATCACACCTAAATTAATAACATAGCAGATTGTATATGTATATACACCATGCACACATATATTTAAACACAAACACACATACACATAAGCACAGACAAAATGATCTTTTCCTTTTATTTTAATGACTTCAATTATTTGTAGCTTTTATACTGTATATGACATGCCAATGAAGTTAATCATATCAATTACAGATACTCTTCTTAAAATGTCTTATAATTTTTATTCTGTTTACTCTTGAAAATAGTGATGTATAAATTTATTTGTCACAATAAAATACAAAAGTCACTGCATTATAATGTGTTTAATTGTCTCATTAATTGTGCCCTCTTAAAAAGATTGCCTTTGCAATTACAGAACTAGAGACAACAAATTAGATCCTAATAAACTACATAATAAAATAGATATAATAGGTAAAATTTATATTTTAGCAAAAGTTGCATTATTACTATTCACATGCAATCTTTTAAGATTCATGAAACACAATTGGGTTGGTTTCTATTGTTTGTGTGTGTGTATGTGTGTGTAATGTAGATTGGTTGATATCTTTAATAATGTTCCACTACTATACTAAGTATCTATTCCTTCCTTATAGAAAGTTTCTTGTCAGTATGACAAGTACAACTGGAACATCATGGATAGAGGTGTGTGTTGTCGTTCTTGAATGACATTAAGTATATATGTACTGTAAATAGAGTAAAATTGTAAGGCATTTCAATAAAATTAATTGTAACTGATTTGATTAATTTCACTGGCATGCCAAGTGCATTACATTAAGATATTAGATAAGTATCATCAAATAATATATATGTAATTTTTATAATGATGAACTACCATGTGACACAGTATTGGCATGCTATCCCATTAAATAAACCACAATCAAGAAGTTCTTTAGATTAACTTCTTAATTTTGCCAATAGTTTCTCAATATTTCAAAGAAGAATTGCACTTTAATACCACATAATTTTTTCTAAGATCTTTCTTGGTGTCTTCGTTAAAAATGTAAACTCTGGAGTCATATATCTGGATTTGAGTTCTAATTTCTACATTAATAAGTAGTTGTGACTTTAAACACTTTTTGTAACCTTTGGTGAATATCATTCCTTTTGTGAAAAATAAGACTAAACATACCTATATTTTAGGGTTGTTCTGAAAATTAAATGATTCGAAGCACAGAAAAATTACTTAGAACTAAGAATAACAAGCATTCCATAAATACCAGTAACTAGTCTATTTCATGTATCTGCCATTAGTCCCATGGCAACTGATCTTCTTTTGCTTCTCTTATTTCTATTTTTTGGCAATCTATATCTAGTTTTCTTAAAATTCTTGTCCCCTTGTATCTATCTGCTTCCCCCCACAACCCCCACTCTCTCTCACTAAGTATGTCTGGTCATTTCCCAATTCTCAAACTTGTTAGCTCCTGCCAAATATAGTGTCAAGAATCTAGCAGGCAAAAGCGAAATTTCCTTACCTGGCAGCTTGAGAGGTCAAGGATGTGTATTACTGTAACTACAGCATTCAAAATTACAGGAAGGAGAGAATACCAATTTTATTTTAAGTTAATTATTGATGTATTAAAAGTATTCTATATCCTTAAGAATCACATCAGTTTCAAGGACAACCCTTTTTCCTGATCACTTGGCTACATTGCAAAATTTTTCAAAGGTCACATAGTAGCTAGATGTATAATTTATTAAATTGAATGATTTTAGAATGTAACTAAATTTAGGTATGTTCCATTCCCTTAATTACTTGTACAAAGTGTTCTTATGTTAGGAACTTAAAAGGAGTTATGAAATAAATGCTTTTGACATAGTATTGGAAAATCCTATTATAGATCATATAAATTTATAAGCAACTAACGTAGTTTATTACTAACATGTCATAGACATCATTTTTTAAAGGATTATGAAGGGATTAAAGATAAACATTGGGTTAAAGCATTACACTAAAAATGTGAAGTGCATTACCATTTGAAGTACACTTATCTTTTCTCCAATTCCTTGTACTTCAACAATCAGAAGGTCTTAAATATACATGATGACACTCAAAAATGCATTTATAATTTAAATTAACACAATCAGAACTTGAATTGGCAAATATTCCATTTTCTTTTTAAGAAATTTTAATTAATAACTTTAACAGAGTTATAAAACTGTGAAATACCTTTCTATCTGTGAGGGGAAAAAAATCATGTAATCATCTGTCAGTTACCTGCATAATAAAGTGAGTTACAAAATCCTTTGTTATCCCTATAAGATAGTTCATGCTGCAGAAGGGTAATAATTTAGGAGAAAGTATAAAGACCTGTAAGAAAAAGAAAATGGTCTCTCATCTTGACTTTGATACTAAAACTCTATAACCTCAGTAAGTTAGCTTTCTGAGTCTCAAGTTTCTTCTTTGGAAAATAAAGGATTTTGTCTATTGATTCTGAAATTTTTCATTCTTTTAAAAATTAGTAAATTCTATTACAAGCTCAATTACCTCATTCTCTTTGATGGTCCAAAGAAAGTATGATTAGCAAATATATTAAACGTTTTGATCTAAATTTAGATTGTGTCTTTGATTCATTTCCCAACTTGGCACAGTATCTAGAACAAATAGAATATAGAAAGGCTTGTAAAGTAGACATGAAGAATGGGAAAGTTTAAAGTTATGCGTTTAAATATATTTACAGATTATGCTAAGTGTGGAAGATCCAAAGATAAAGAAGTAGCGTTTCCTTAGGAAAATTTAAAGACTAATAGCTTCTCTTTCATTAGCCTTTGCTATGGCCACTTCATCATGATGGTTTAAACTCAGAAGTATCTGTCATCCCAGACAGATATTTTTGTTGGCCCTGAGGCTAAAATCATTTATTAAAATTCAACCTGAAAACTATTAATTTTTGTTACAGTTTGACTGAATTAAAATGACTTCCTGAAAATTGTTAATGTCCTTTTTATTCAGCTTTTTATCTTGAGATCATGTTAAATTTACACACTATGTTGATATTGTGTGGAAATCCCCAAGCATCAGGAAAAATGTAAATAAATATAAATATAGACAGCCTCTCTTTAGTAAAACTAAGGTTTATATTTCATTTTGGAGAATAGATTAGTAGAAAATCTCCAAGGTCTTTCTTTAATGTTTGTCACTGTTACCACCCAAAAAAGATAAACCACCAATTCATGAAAGAAAAAATAAGGTCATAAATTATTAGTGCATCCCTTTTTGGCTGGTGATAGGGGCCTTGATCAAAGTATAAAGACCTAAGATCTTTCAGAAGAATGTGCTGGCCATATTAAGGCAAAACACTCCTGCACTTTTTTATTTTACAGGGAATTTATTGAAGAGTTTCTGTCCACAACTTTAATCCTACAATATGAACTATACATAAAGTAGACAGGAGGTTTTTATTTGAGGTCAAAGAAATTGCCTGTCAGAAATACATAGTGGGGCAAAGATTTTGATATGTACATAGCTTAAAATGTAGCTTAAAAATGTCAGTATTAAAAATAAATATTTGACCGATGATTTAAAGAGATGAGGCTGGGTGTGGTGGCTCACGCCTGAAATCCCAGCACTTTGGGAGACCGAGGCTGACATCTCATTTGAGGTCAGGAGTTCTAGACCAGCCTGGCCAAAATGGTGAAACTCCTTCTTTACCAATAAATAAATAAGACAAGACAATAATTGATTCAACTAAATAATAAGATATAGGAAATATAGAGAGAATTTATGTTATCTCCTCTGATATGAAGGGTAAGAATAGGAGAATAGGTAAACATCTAGAATCCATTTGCAGTGATAAAGCAAATACAGGTTGGCCACAGAACAGTTGACAACAAAGTCTTAGTCTGGACTTCTTTCTTGCCTGGACTAAACGAACAATAAAATTATAAAATAAAGTTTCAGAGATTTTGAGGAAAAAAATGTGGTTACTTTACATGACAAAATCATATTTTTTTAAATAAAAAAAGAAGACAAAGAAAAAGAAGAGGAGGAGGAGAAAAAGGAGGAGGCGGAGAAAGAATAATATATTTATCATTTAAATTAACATAATCAGAACTTGAATTAGCAAGTTCTGCTTGCTAATTTGCTTTTAAGAAATTTTAAGTAATAACTTTAACAGAGTTATAAAACTGTGAAACACCTTTCTATTTGTGAGGAAAAAACATCATGTAATCACTTGTCAGTTACCTGCGTAATAAAGTGAGTTACAAAGTCTTTTGTTATCCTTGTAAGATAGTTCATGTTGCAAAAGGGTAATAATTTAGGAGAAAGTATAAAGACCTGTAAGAAAAAGAAAATGGTCTCTCATCTTGACTTTGATACTAAAACTATATAACCTCAGCTAAGTTAGCTTTCTGAGTCTCAACTTTCTTGTTTGGAAAAATAAAAGAATTAATAATAAAATAGAAGAGTTAATAAAATAAAGCTACTTGGAGTTCACAAACACATCTATAACTGCTAAGATTTGTCTTAGGATTCTCCAGAAAGACAGAACCAATAGAATCTATGTATCTATGCATGTATGCAGGTAAGTAGGTAGGTAAGTAGGTAGGTAGGTATCTATCTATCTTTTATTTATGAAGAAAAATTCATTTTGAAGAATGGCTCACACAATTATGAAGGCTGGCAAGTCCCAATTACTCAGGGTAGGCAGGCAGGCTTGCTGCAGACCCAGGGAATAGCTGATGTTTCAGTTCAATTTCCAAGGCTATCATCTGACAAAATTCTCTCTTGTTTGGAGGAGGTCAGCCTTTTGTTCTATTTGGATCTTTAACTAATTGGATGAGGGCCACCAACATTATAGAAGACAATCTACACAAAGTCCACCAATTTATGATAAGCCCTGCCAAAAACACCCTCACAGAAACAACCAAAATTAGGTTTGACCACACATATCTGGGCCCCATGACCTAGTCAAGTTGACACATAAAATTAACCTTCACAGGATTATGTCTGAAAGTGTACATAGAGAGAAAAAAGTACAGTTGGGGAAATCATAGTGTTCTGGCTCTGCCTATTTTTTTATTTCTATTTCTCGAGACAGGGTCTCACTCTGTTGTCCAGGCTGGAGTGTAGTGGTGGAATCATAGCTCACTGTAGCCTTAACCGTCAGGGCTCAAGTGATCCTCCCACCTCAGGCTCCTCAGTAGCTGGGACTCCAGGCATGAACATCACACCTGCCAAATTTATTTATTTGTTATTTTTCTGTAGAGGCAGGGTTTCCCTGTGTTGTTCAGGCTGGTCTTGAACTCCTGGGCTCAAGTGATCCTCCTGTCTCAACCACCTAAAGTGTTGGAATTACAGGTGTGAACCATCATGTCAAGCTTCTGTCTCTTATAAGGAGTGAGACATTTGTCAAATTACTCCACCTATTTGAGTGCTTTTTTTTTCTGATGATGGTAATAATAATCCCTATTTTGTGATGTTCTAAAGACTAGATGAGGTAATAAAGACAAAGTCCTAGATATGCAGTAGGTAGTTAATAAATGTATCTATCACTATATTATTATTAATATGCTTACAGTGTTATAATTATTATTATAATAACATGTGCCACTGCTTACATTATCTTTTCTTGTGTGGACATTGAAAGAGAAGCAATGAAAATGAAACATATATTTAAAGGATATTTCAGTATAAAGAGATTAATTGGCATTTTGGAAATAAAAAACTATTTGATTTTTGTGATCAATTTATCAAAATCAATCAAATTAACCTGAGAGAAACCATGTATGTTATTGCCTTCTCTTTGGGCATTGAGAATGTGTAACTTCTGGGTAGGACATGTTTTCTAGACTTCTCTATCCCCTAAGGTGTCAACATATTTCAAAATATAATAGTTATTATTTTAACAGCTATATACTGTCAGCTTAAGTATTTACTCATGAATAAAACTTTTAAGTGTTTCATGACAAGTATAGTCAAACTGGGGAACCAACAATACATGAAACAGTGGATTATTTTCGTGCAATGCTCAGGATAGATTTTCTAAAATTACCTTTCATGAGATTTGAGGTGTGTTACCAGGAACTAAAGAAAAACCCAATTTTATTAGCTTGATAAAATATCTAGATATTGGTTTTAATTTAGAGATAATTTTATTAAATTAGGTGATAAAATTTTTCAGGACTTATGCATTCCCCCTTTGCATGTTAAGAAATTATTTTTCTTCTATGTGTTCTCTAACTTCATAGTTTTTTCTTTCATGTTAATTTTTTAATCCATAAAAATATTGAATTAAAGTTCAAAATGCAAATAAAAATATGATATTGAATAAAAATCCAACTGTCTATAAGATCTAAACTTATACACTATGTTTGTGTATGGGTGCAGGCATGTGTGTATTTGAGAAGTATAACTAGGGCAGCCATTCTAGGAAGCCATTTGGTAGACCTTAATACATTTAGTACCAGCAAAATCCTTGTTTATGTTCTCATAAAAACCAATATGAACATTGTTTGCAAGTGGAAAAGATGTGAAAACAATCTAGGATTTTTACTTATTTTATTTTTTTTTTATTTATTTTCAGACAGGATCTCATTCTGTCACCCAGGCTGAAGTGCAGTGGTGCGATCCCAGGTTCAAGCAATCCTCCCACCTCAGCCTCCCAAGTAGCTGGGACTACAGGCAGGTACCACTATGCTCAGCTAATTTTTGTATTTTCTTGTAGAGATTAGGTTTTGCTATGTGCCCAGGCTGAGTCTAGGTGTTTATTATCAGTTAAGGGAGTAGGTAAATGATAATATATGCCTACAATGAAGTACAGTACAGCATCAGAATTTATAAGACAATGTCAATTCATAAACTAAGCACATATATAGGCACACACATTCTTAAAGCAATGTTATGTATTCTTCAGATACCTCAAAAGTGTAAATTTTAGTGATATCATACTCAGTTATATAAATAAGGCTCATAGAACCTGGAATACTTGATTTCTTTATTTATGGATGTTTGTACATAGGTTATTACTGCTAAATAACAATCTTGCTTACTTTGCACTTGCTTACAAACACCACATAATGTAGGAGAGACGTTATGTGAACTAATCCCTTTATTAGTAGAAAAAAATTAAGTTCACATTTTCTCTGTTCTGAAAATTTTGCTAATTTGAAATAAATCTTTTTGGTAAGCAAAAACTTCTGTTATGGCAAGCTAGCTTACCAAAAAGAAGAAAATATAAAGACTGTGATCACCTTTTCATATTTGGTTAAAATACATATTTTATTTCTATCTTTTTATTGTGGAAGTAAAAAAGGAAAGTCAGGGGCGATGGTAAGCAAAGAACATTATTAGCCAAACGGATGAAAATTGTCTGCGAAAGGACAAAGAAATAAAGAAAATAAAATATATTATTATAGAAATTATTAGGAAACATCACAGCTTCTAAATTTCTTATTTTAAAGTATAGAAAATGAAGGCATACTAAGGAAAGAGATTATCTACCAAAATAAACATTTTGCTGTTTAGAAGAAAAAAAAAACCTTCTGTTTATCTGACTGCCTTTTACCTAGTTTAAATGTAGAATGAAACATATCACTTGTAGGAAATCAAGATAAATTTTAGTGCTTTTAATATTCTTAAACTTTGTTTTTAAATTCAGAGAGCTTTGAAGGCATATGAAGCTGAAAAGTGTCCTTCTAAGTTCTTCTAGGAAATAATAGCTTAATTGAGTTTATAGAATGGTAATATCTGGCCAGTTATCACAGTTCTTTAGAGCCTGATATTAAGGAGACCAAGAACATGAGTTCAATCCCTCAAGGAACTCGTGACCATGTTCCTTGGGCAAATGCTTTCCTAATCATCCCTCAAGGCATCTCTCTGATTCATGCCACTCATCTTAGAAGCCTGAATAAGGGAACGTGAATGAATCACTGCTATGGGAAATTAAAGATAATGGAGCCAGTAAAACCCTAGTGGCATTCTAAAGGAAGTGACTACCTAAAATAAAATGCCTAGTAATTTGTCAAAAGCTATGTTTCTTTCTTTTCTAGTTTTGTTTCAGTGTGCAAGCATCTTTTTTATGGTGGGTTTTGGCCATGCTATGCTACAGCTGAATTTGTCATGATCAGTCTATTCAATGTGCCTGTATGTTCTAGATGCAAATAGAATCTACATCAGCCCAAACTGATAATTCACATTGCCTAGAATATCTCTTATGCCAGTTCCATTGAAGGAATTTCCAAAACAAGTTTAGCTGAAAGACACCTTTGCCTGAAATATCCAGACAGGCAAAATATTTTTGATTCTTGTTAGTTGCATTCCTCGAATCACAGAGCCAGGTCTTTACTTATGTGATTAAAACTACCTCTTATTCAATTTTAATTGAGCTAAAATAACTATACTTTGAAAGACATATGAAATTTATTTTTGGTGTAATTTAAAAATCTCATTAATTATCTTGAGGTAGAAAATTCCCTTTGCATTAATTTATGTTTCAAATTACAGTGACTTCTTTGATATTTAATGATAATTTAAGCAAATGTGGTAAGAGCATTACCTCACACATAATGCATCATGTGTAACCACACATTATGTAAGCATATGATTTTATAAATTAAAAAGTTATTTAGATTATTCGTTAAGATCAAAAAGTCACGCACTGGTTATTTAATCTTGTACAAAAATAATGACATCAGAAATTACATATCACTAGAAAATAATGCAGATTGCTATGTAAGATATCATTAATCTGAGATGCAGCTACACGAATCTAAAAAATATCTTTCACCATGTTCCTAAGTGTATTTACTGTGAAAGGAAAATAAATCTTGGAAACCTTGGGGCCCCGAAGTCGCTAAGCTAAAGGGAAAAGTCAATCTATGAACTGCTTAGGGGGAAACTTGCCTCCCCTTCTATTCAGTCATCCCTCTTCTCACTGAGATAAATGCATATCTGATCGCCTCCTTAGGAAAGGCTAATCAGAAACTCAGCAACCCTTTGTCTCTCACCTACCTGTGACCTAGAAGCCCCTTCCCTGCTTGAATTGTCCCGGCTTTCTGGATGGAACCAATGTACATCTTACATCTATTGATCGATGTTTCATGTCTCCCTAACATGTATAAAACCAAGCTGTGCCCCGACAACCTTGGGCACATGACCTCAGGACATCCTGAGGCTGTATCGGGGTGCACATCCTCAACCTTGGCAAAATAAACTTTCTAAATGAACTGAGACCAGTCTCAGATTTTCAGGACTCACATTACAAATTAAAAATTTCAGAATATTGAGATAAATAGGAGATTGCTTTGTTGTTCTAGGACTTAAGAATCTTAAATAATCAAAGATTTGCTCAAAGCCATTTTCAACACAGCCCTGTCAAACAGGTTCTTAATGTGTTTTTTGTATGCATCGAGAAGATTCAAGACTTGTCATGGTCTGTTGAGCTGACTGACTTTAAACCTTGAAGACTTATTGGTGTCCCTATGGAAAGGAAAAAGAATGAATTCAGTAGCATACCTTCCTTGAAATCCAGTCCTAATGTCTAAGAGCTTTAAAATTAGCAGTGAGCCCAGGGGAGTCATTTAGTGCTGCTCTGACTATTAAAGCATAAAAAGTCTTTAGTTTTGAATTTTAGGAAGCTTAAAAATTTTGTTTTATCTTAATATGAATCCAAGACTTTATTTTTAATTTGATAAATGTACAAGGCACAATGCCTTTTCTTGTTTGCCGTTTCTTACAGATGGCATACCATAAGAAACAAACTTTCTCTGCCTGAAAATCAAAGTCCTGGATGGATCATTTAATTCTTCATACATCATAGTTATTTTTAAAGGGAGACATATTGCTGCACATGAAGTTGACCCAGTCAGGTAACCTAACTCTGTAAACTCTCAACCCTGATCAGCCGCATAGTGAATGTTCTGTCTCCTAATCTGGCATTATAGACAGATCCTGACTTATTTCTGAGTATAAAGTGAACCTGAAGAGTATTTTAAATAAAATGGAAGGGATATTCTGTTATTTAGTGATTATTAGGTTCACAGAACTGAGTTTCATGTATTGCACATATTATGTTGCTTATAATTTATAATAAAGTGAGGTAGATGAGGTTTTCTCTATTTCATTAATGAAAAAACTAAAACTAAGAAAATGTAGGTAACTACCCAAGGACTTACAAGTAGTCTGAGCCTCATCCTATATCTGTAAAATGAGGTCAACTGTATTTTCATCTCTGAATTATTATAAGAGTAGAATGAGATACCACATATAAATTACCTGGCATCTACTAGACATTCAAAATGAGTAGCAGCTGTGTGTTACTGTCTTGTAGAGGCCAGAATAGGTAGGGATGAGTGATTTGAATAAAAATCTCCCAGACTTTGAAATATTCTTTACCTTTCTGTAGTATTTTTCAAGAAAATCTGAATTTGGTATCTCATGATGTGGAAATGATGTGCAGAAGTTTCATTTAAATTTTTATAAGAAACACGAACACTGCTTAAATATAAATTATACTCACTTTAATAGAGCCATAGCCTATAATTTTGTCTTATTTTTTAAAAAAAAACTTTAAAAAAGTTTTACAATTAGATTTATCAATAGTTAAATAGACTTTACCTGAATTTCATAAAGCTGAAGACTTACTTATATACTACTGAATATGGCCTAATGAATTCTTAGTGAACTACAAACTTTGCAAGTCAAAATGTGCTCTCATTCTTTTTTATTTAATATCAACCATAATTAAATGTTCAAATCATGAATATTAAAAACATCTTTAAAAAGAAATGACTTTTCTAAAATAGAATACCACTTGAATCATACTGATGACCCAAAATAGTCTACCTCTTTTTTAAGTGGAGGTTGATTGATTTTCACTGACAAATAAAAATTGCCACATGCTGATCTGAATAGGTAATGAACACAGGCATTTATTTAAGAAGGATCAACTGCCCCTTTTGTATCTTAAGTTTCTATGGGTATGTGTTTTATTAATTAAAACCTTCCTACTTCTCGTTAGCTGCCTCTAACTTCACACCAAAAACATCTGTTACTAGGCTTTACACATACACACATATGCGCACACACACACACACACACACACAAACGTACACACACAATATTAATCAAGTAAAAATAATGTTCTAATTACTTTTTTTTCTTGTGAGAATATATAAAAAGGAGTGTGCAGTGCTGTTTTTTTAGAAGCTAAGTTATATACTTAAAATACCTTCCTAATATTTTTGTGTTTCAGGGTTTTCAGAGAATAGAATCAATAAGATAGATATGTATGCATATATATAAAAAGATTTATTATTATGAATTGCTCACTTGATAGTGGAAGCTGAGAAGTCCCAAGAACTGCAGTTGGCAAGCTGGCAATCTAAAAGAGCCAATGCATAGTTCCAATCTGAATCTGAAGGCTTGAGAACTAAGACAGTTAATAGTATAGTTCCAATATGAAAGCTGGCAGGCTCATGAATCAAAAAGAGTTGATGTTTGAGTATGAGTCTGAATGTGGAAAAAGACCAGAGCTCCAGCTCAGGCAGTTAGGCAGGAGTTCCCTCTTAATCAGACTTTTTGTTCTACTCAGGTCTTCATTTGATTAGATGAGGCCCATCCAAATTAGAGAAGGCAATCTGCTTTACTGAGTGTAAGGATTCAAACGCTGATCTAATCCAGGAACAATCTCACAGACACAGCCAGACTAATGTTTGGCCACTTGTCTCAGCACCCTGGGGCCCAGTCATACTGACACCAAAAAATTGCCATCACAATTAAAAAAATTATTTTTGATTAAAGTTTTCATTTTGAGATTATTATAAATTTACATGAAATTATAAGAAATATAGAGAAATGCAGATTTCATTCAGAGAAACTGGCCTTTACTCAGTTTCCCCCAATGATAACATCTTACAAAACTGTAGTACAGTATCACCACCAGGATATCGACACAAAACAGCAAAGATAAAGAACATTTCCACCAAAACGGTAACTTCTAGTGTTATATGATACTGTAAACCACAAATAATTCTCACTCCCCCACAATACACCTAACTCCTGGCAATCACTAACATGCTTCCCATTTCTTAAATTCTGTCATTTTAAGAACGTTGAATAAATGGAATCATACAGCATGTAAACTTTTGTAACGAGCTTTTTCACTTAGCATAATTCCCTGAAAATTCCTCTAGGTTGTTGGATGTGTCAACATTTCTTTTTCTTCTTCTATTTTTCCCAGTAGAACAGTATTCTTTGGAATGGATTTGTTTATTCACCCATAGAAAGACATGAGGGTTGTTTCAAACTTTGACTACTTCAACAAAATTTGCTATAAATATTTGTGTCCAGTTTTTGTGTGAACATAGGTTTTCATTTTTTGTGATAAATATGCAGAAGTGTAGTTGCTGGGTCTATGGTTGTTGTATGTTCAGTTTTTTTTTTTTTAAGAAAAACCACTAAACTGATTTTACATTCCCACCAACAATGTGTATGAGTGATATAGTTTCTCCACATCCTCATCAACATTTTGTACCGTAATAATTTTTATTATAGCAACTCTGATAAGTGTGCAGTAATAGCTCATTGTGGTTCTATATTAATTTCCTTAATGGCTAATATGGCTAATAATGTACGACATCTTTATCTGAGCTTATTTGCTACCTGCATGCCTTTTTTGGTGAAATATCTTTTGCCCATGTTCTAAATTGAATTTTCAGTTTCTTTTATGTTCTAGATGCTAGTCCTCTGTTGGATACGTGGTTTCTAAGTATCTAATTTCATTATATAGCTTTCCTTTCATGGATGGTGATTTTTTTTCATGTCAAATATAAAAGCATTCTATGTAAACCCAGATCCTAAAGATTTTTTTCTATGAATGTTTTTAAAATATTTTGTTGTATATTTTACACTTAAATCCCTTATTAATTTTGAGTCAATTTTTAAAATAAACTGCAATATTTAAGTTGGGAGTCATTTTCTTAAATAGACTTTATTTTTAAAAACAGTTTTATGTTAACAGTAAAATCATTATTTTTTTTAGAAAAAAACCTATGCATAACCAATTGTTTCAGCACCACTTACAGAA
Organism: Homo sapiens; assembly: GCF_000001405.40. NCBI lineage: Eukaryota > Metazoa > Chordata > Mammalia > Primates > Hominidae > Homo > Homo sapiens. The sequence goes on from NC_000004.12 coordinate 130,262,633, forward strand.
AAGGCTAAATTTCCTCCACTGAATTACTTTTACAACTTTATCAAAATTCAGTTGGGCACATTTGTGAGGGTTTATATCTGGGTTCTATATATTTTTCCATTGATGTGTGACTATGAAAGGTATCTATCTGTCCCCTAACATAACATAGTTGAGATTACTGTAGCTGGACAATAAGTCTCAAATTTAATTGGATGAATTTCTTCCATTTTATTCTTTTTCTAAACTGTTTTAGCTATTTTAACTTATTTATCTTTCTATATACCTTTCAGAATAATCTTGCCTATACCTAAACAATTCTGTGCCTAAATTTTTATAGGAATTACATTCAAACTCTGTATCAGTTTGGAAGAACTAACATCTCTGAGTATTGTCAATCTTCCAATTCAGGAACATAATGTGTCTTTCCATTTATTTAGATCTACTTTGATTTCATTCATCAGTGTTGTCAATGTTGTTGTATAGTTTTCAGCATTCTTATCTCATACAAGTTTAGGCAGACTTACACCAAAGTATTTTTTTCTGCCAATTACAGATGGCATTGTATTTTTAAATTAGTGTTCAAATATGTACTGCTAGAATGCAGACATACAATTGATTTCTGCATGTTTATTTTATATCCTGCCACTTTGCTGAAGATAAATTTATAGCATTAAATTCATCCATTGGAAATGAGTACAAGTTTTAAATTGATAATCAATTATTAGTTCTAAGAGTTTTGTTTTTTATAGATCCTTTGGGATTTTCTATGTAGACAATTTTGCCATCTGCAAATAGGGACAGCTTTGTTTTTCTCACTCTAAAATGGGTGCATTATATGTCCCTTTATTGCTTATTGTGTTGGCTAAAAATCCAGAACTATGTGTTGGCTAAAAATCCCGAACTATGTGTTGGCTAAAAATCCCGAACTATGTTGAATAAAATTGGGGAGAATGAACATATGCTTTGCTTTTATGCAGATCCTTAAGTTATTCAGTATGTTATAATTAAGTATATATTAGCAATAGTTTTTTTGTAGGTGTTCCTTCTCACATTCAGGAACTTACTATATATTTCTATATATAGTAAAGAAGTTTCTAAAAATAATTATCATGAATAGGTGTTGAATTCTGTCAAATGCTTTTTGCCATCAATTGTTATGATCATGTGATTTTTTTTCTTTGATCTGTTCACGTGGTAGATTATACAGAATGAGTTTCAAACATTAAAACATATTTGCAACCCTAGAGTGAATCCTACTTAGCCATGTTGTATAATATTTTTAATATATTGCTGAACAATATTTGCCAATATTTTGTTAGAAACTTTTCTTTTTTATTCAGAAGTAATGTTGAACAGTCATTTTTTCTACTTTGTCCTGTCAACTTATGATTTTGTATCAGGGTACTATTAGCTTCATAAATAAATTAAGAACTATTCTATTCTGTTTGTGGGACGAGATTGTACATAATTTTTGCTGATTCTTCTTTTAAAGTTTGGTAGAATTCTCAAGATAAATCAATTCAACTTAAAATTATTTTTTTCTTTAAGTTTTTCAAGTCTAAAGTTTTCATTCGGTTTTTTTTATCTTCTAATTTTTCATGAGATTGCATTTTTTTATTGATACTTACTAGATGTACATATTTTCAGAGTACTTGTGATAATTTAATATATTTATGTAATGTGTAAAGATTTGTAATGTGTAAAATTTATGTAATGTGTAAAGATCAGTGTACCTGGGATATCTATCATCTTAAATAAGTATCTTCTTTTCATGCTGGGAACATTGAACTTATTCTCTTCTAGCTGTTTTGAAATGTACAATACATTGTTTATTGTAGTCACCCTATAACTCTATTGAACACCTTGTCTTATTTCTTCTATTTAACCATGCATTTGTACCCATTAATCAACTTCTCTTTATTCCTCCTCTCTCTACCCAGACTTTAGTAACCAACAATCTACTGTCTATCTTCATGAAATCTACTTTTTAGCTCTCACAAGTCAGTGAGAGCATGTAATAGTAATAGTTGTCTTTCTGTGCCTGCCTTATTTCACTTAATGTAATTATCTACCGCTCCTTCCATGTTACTGAAAATGACAGAACTTCATTCTTTTTTTATGGCTTAATAATAGTCCATTGTGTATAGACAGCACATTTTCTTTATTCATCCATTGATGGGCACATAGATTGAGTCGATACTTTCCTTATTGTGAATAGTGCTATAATAAATATGGGGGTGCCTACATATATTGACTTTTCTTCTTTTTTTTGAGACAGAGCCTCACACTTTCACCCGAGCTGGTGTGCAGTGGCACAAACTTGGCTCACTGCAACCTCCACCTCCCGGGTTCAAGTGACTACCCTGCCTCAGCCTCCCGAGTAGCTAGGATTACAGGCACTCGCCACCTTCCTCAGCTAATTTGTTGTATTTTTAGTGGAGACGGGGTTTCACTATGTTGGCCATGCTGGTCTCAAACTCCCGACCTCTTGATCCCCCTGCCTTGGCCTCCCAAAGTGTTGAGATTACAGGCGGGAGCCACTGCATCTGGCAACTTTTCTTCTTTTAGGTATATATTCAGCAGTGAGACATGGATTTTATGGTATTTCTATTTTTTTGTTTTTTGAGGAACCTCCATATATTGTCCATAGCAGCTGTAGTACTTTATATTCCCACCAATAGTGTAAGAAGGTTCCCCTTTCACCACCTCCTCACCAGCAACGGTTATTTCCTGTCTTTTTTATAAAAGCCATTTTACTGGAGTGAAATGACATGTCATCAGGATTTTGATTTCCATTTCCCTGATGATTGGTGATACTGAGCATTTTTTTCATGTATCTGTTCATCATACATATGTCTTCTTTTGAGATATGTCCATTCAAATCTTTCACCCATTTTCAAACAGATTATGTATTATTATTATGTTATTTAATTGAGTTCCTTATACATTCTGGTTATTAATCCATTGTTAGATGGACATTATAAAAATATTTTCTCCCATTCTGTGAGAACGTTGTTTCTTCACTCCATTGACTGTTTCCTTTCTTGATATCTTTTTAGCTTGATATCATCCCATTTGTCTATTTCTGCTTTGGTAGCCTGTGCTTTTGAGTACTTACCCAAAAACTCTTTGCTCTGACCAATGTTCTGATGCATTTTCCCAATGTTTCTTCCACTACTTTCATAGTTTCAAGCTTTAGATTTTTCTTTAAACTAATTTGTTTTGATTTTGTATATAGTAATATATAAGTGTCTAATTTCATTCTTTTGCATATCTGCATATGGTTATCTAGTTTTCCCAGCACCATTTAAAGCAGAGACTGTCATTTTGTCATTGTATATTCTTGGCAACTTTGGTAAACATGAGTTGGCTGCAAAGGCATGGATTTATATATAGGTTTTCTATTCTGTTCCATTGATCCATTTGTCTGTTTTTATGACAGTATCATGCTGATTTGGTTACTACAGTTTTGTAGTATATTTTGAAGTCAGGTAGTGATATGGTTTGGTTCTGTGTCCCCACCCAAATCTCATCTTGAATTGTCATCCTCACGAGTTGAGGAAGGGAGCTGGTAGGAGGTGACTGGATCTTGGGGGCAGTTTCCCCCATGCTGTTCTCCTGATAGTGAGTGAGTTCTCATGTGATTTGATGGTTTAAAATTGTGGCACTTTCCTTCACTCTCTCTCTCCTGCTGCCTTGTGAAGAAGGTTCCTGCTTCTCCCCTTCACCTTCTACCATGATTATCTTTCCTTAGGCCTCCGCAGCCCTGTGGAACTGAGTCAATTAAACCTCTTTTCTTTATAAATTTCCCAGTCTTAGGTTGTTCTTTATAGCAGTATGCAAACAAACTAATACAGAAAATTGGTACTGGGAGTTTGGGGCATTGCTGTGAAGATAATTGAAAATGTGGAAGCTACTCTGAAACTGGGTAATGGGCAGAGGTTGGAACAGTTTGAAAAACTGAGAAGAATACAGGAAGATGTAGGAACGTTTGGAACTTCCTACATTCTTGTTGAATGGTTTTGACCAAAATGCTGATAGTGATATGGACAGTGAAGTCCAGGCCTACGAGGTGGTCTCAGATGGAGATGAGGAACTTACTTGGAACTGAAGTAAAGGTCATGTATGTTCACAAAGAGGTGGTCTGAAATTGAAACTTATGTTTAAAAGGGAAGCAGAGCATAAAAGTTGGAAAATTTTGCAGCCTGATCATGTGGTAGAAAAGAAAAAAAAAACACTTTCTGGGGAGAAATTCAAGCTGGCTGCAGAACCTTGCATAAGTAATGGAGAGTTGAATGTTAATAGCCATGATGATTGGGACAATGTCTCCAGGGCATTTCAGAGATCTTCATGACAGCAACTCCCATCATAGGCCCAGAGGCCTAGGAGGCAAAAATGGTTGTGTGGGCTGGACCCAGGGTCCCCTTGCTCCGTGCAGCTTTGGGACATGGTGCCCTGTGTCCCAGCCACTCCACTTCCAGCCATGGCTAAAAGGGGCCATGGTACAGCTCTGGTCATTGCTTCAGACGATGCAGGCCCCAAAACTTGGTGGCTTCCATGTGGTGTTGGGCTAGTGGGTGTGCAGAAGACAAAAGTAGAGCTTTTACAGCTTCCTCCTAGATTTCAGAGCATGTATGGAAATGTCTGGATGTCCAGGCAGAGGTCTGCTGCAGGGAGACCTTGTGGAGAACCTCTACTAGGGCAATGCAGAGGAGAAATGTGGGTTTGGAGCCCCCCATGCAGAGTCACCACTGGGACACTGCCTGGTTGAGCTGTGAGAAAAGGACAACTGTCCTGTAGACACAGAGGGGTAGACCCACTGACAGCTTGCCCTTTATACCTGGAAAAGACACAGGCACACAATTCCAGCCTGTGAAAGCAGCCACAGGAACTTTACCCTGCAGAGCCACAGAGGCAGAGCTGTCTAAACCCTTGGGAGCTCAGCCCTTGTATCAGCATGCCCTGGATATGAGACATGCAGTAATAGGAGATTATTTTGGAGCTAAAGATTTAGAGATCGACCCACTGGATTTTTTACTTTATTGGACCTGTAGCTTCTTTGTTCTGGCCAATTTCTCCCTTTTGGAATGATAGCATTTATGCAAAGCCTGTATGCTCATTGTATCTTGGAAGTAACTTACTTGTTTTTGATTTTACAGGCTCATAGGAGAAAGGTACTTACCTTATCTCAGATGAGATTTTAGACTTTGACTTTCGAGTTGATGCTTCAATAACTGGGATTTTGGGGGACTGTTGAGAAGGGATGTTTGGCTTTCAAATATAAGATGGACATGAGATTTTGTGGGGGTGGTGAGCAGGGGTGGGATGATATGTTTTGGCTCTGTGTCTCCACCCAAATCACATCTTGAATTGTAATCCCCAAGTGTTGAGGGAACGTCCTGGTGGGAGGGGTTGGATCATGGAGACAGTTTCCTCCATGCTGTTCTTGTAATAGTAAGGGAATTCTCATGAAATCTGATGGTTTAAAAGTGTGGCACTTCCTTTTGCTTTCTCTCTCTCTTGCTTCTATGGAAGATGTATCTTCCTTCCCCTTTGCCTTCTACCATGATTATAAGTTTCCTGAGGCCTCTCCAGCCATGCGGAACTGTGAGTCAAGTAAACCTCCTTTCTTTGTAAGTTAACCAGTCTCAGGTAGCTTTTTATAGCAGTGTGAAAATGGACTAATACAGGTAGCATGATGCCTCCAGATTTGCTTTTGTTCTTCAGGATTGCTTTGTCTACTTGACGTCTTTTGGGTTTTACATAAATTTTAGGATTGATTTTTCTACTTCTGTGAAGAATGCCATTGGTAATTTTGATAGAGGTTGCATTGAATCTGTAGATCACATTGGGTAGTATTATCATGTTAACAATATTTATTATTGTAATTCATAATAATGGAATATCTTTTAAATTTGGTTTTCTCTTCTACTTCTTTCACCAGTGTTTTATAATTTTCCTTGTATAGATCTTTTATTTCTTTGGATAGATTGATTCGTGGGCATTTCATATTCTTTATAGCTATTACAGATGGGATTGCTTTCTTTATTTCTTTTCAGATTGCTCACTGTCAGTGTATATAAATGCTACTGATATGGATGTAGTTCTGTTTTCAGCAAATTTACTGAATTAATTTTTTAGTTTTAATGATTTTGTGTGGAGTCTCTAGGTTTTACTAAATATAAAATCATGTCATCTGCAAGCAAAGCTAATTTGAATTATATCTTTACAATCTGAATGCTCGTTATTTATTTTTTTCTCTGGCTTAATTGCTTTAACTAGTTCTTCAAGTATTGTATTGAATAAAGGTGATGAAAGTGGTCATCTTGTCTTGTTTCAGATCTCAGATAAAAGGTTTTCTGTTTTTCCTTGTTCAGTATAGTTTTGAACATGGCTTTGTCTGAGGTCCTTGAGGACCATATATAGCCTAGAGGTATGTTTTTTTTCTATATCTAGCTTGTTGAGAGTTTTCATCATAAAGGGATCTTGAATTTTATCAAATGCTTTCCAGCATCTATTAAAATGATTATGAGTTTTTGTTCTTAGATTTCTCAGTTATGTATCATATTTATTGATTTGTGTATGTAGAAGCATGCTTACATTTACACAATAAATCCCAGTTGATCATGGTAAATGATCTTTTTAATATGTTGTTAAATCCAATTTGCTAGTATTTTGTTTAGGATTTTTGCATCTATGTTCATTAGTGATAATGGCCTGTAGTTTTATTGATTTTTTTGTTGTGTCCTTGTCTGGTTTTTGTATCAGAAAAATGCTGGCCTCATGGAACAAATTTGGAAGTATTTCCTCTTTTCATATTTTGTTTGGAGTAGTTTAAGTAGAATTGGTGTTAGCACTTTTTAAAATGTTTGGTAAAATTTAGCAATGCAGCCATCTGGGTTGATCTTTGCTTTGAGGCAAGAGCTCTTTTTTATTTTTTTTCTGGGAAAGGCTCTTTCATGTATGAAGAACTGCTTTTCTGGATACAGTGTTTTCAGAAGCTAGTTTGTTTTCTTATTCTTTTTCTTTTTTTTTTTTTTTTTTTTTTTTTGAGACAGAGTCTCACTCTGTCACCCAGGCTGGAGTGCAGTGGCATGATTTCGGCTCACTGCAAGCTCCGCCTCCTGGGTTCATGCCATTCTCCTGCCTCAGCCTCCTGAGTAGCAGAGACTACAGGCGCCTGCCACCACACCCAGCCAATTGTTTGTATTTTTAGTAGAGACGGGGTTTCACCATGTTAGCCAGGATAGTCTCAATCTCCTGACCTTGTGATCTACCTGCCTCGGCCTCCCCAAGTTCTGGGATTACAGGCATGAGCCACTGTGCCTGGCCGGTAGTTTGTTTTCTTTCTGCATTTGAAAATGTCATATCACTCCCTCCTGGCCTGTATGTTTCACTTGAGAAGTCTGTTGTCAGATGCATTGGAACTCCATTATATGTTACTTGCTTTTTAATAATCTTATTGATTTTAGGATTCTCTCTTTGTTTTTGACCTCAGAAAGTTTGATTATTATATGCCTTATGCTAGTCTTATTTAAGTTTAATCTGTTTGATGTTCTCTCACCTTCCTGTGTCTGGATATTTATATCTTTCTTAAGTTTTTAAAAGATTTTTATTATTATTTCTTTTAAAAAGCTTTCTACCCCTTGACCTTTCTCCACTCCCTGTTGAACACCAGTAATTCTTAGAGTTGGTCTTTTGATGTAATTTTCTATATCTTGTAGGCAATCTTCATTTCCTTTCATTCTTTCTTTCTTTTTCCAGCTCTGACTGCATATTTTAAAATAGCCTGTCTTGAAGTTCAGTTTTTTTCCTCTGCTCAATCCTTTCATGCTCTTGAGAGGATCTAATAAATTTTTCAGTTTAGTAAATATATTTCTCAGTTTCCAGATTTTTGTTTGTTTTTTATCAGCATTTCAATCTCTTTGTTAAATTTCTCTGATAAATTTCAGAGTTGCTTTCCTTTGTTATCCTGGAGATTGCTGAGTTTCCTTAAACTTACTCTTCAATTCTTGCTCTGAGAGCTCATATGTCACTGTCTTGTTAGGGTCATTCATTGAGTCCTTGCTTTGTCTGTGTGGGAGGTCATCGTTCCCTTTTTGCTGTTGTTTCTTGTGTATGTCTTTGTATTAAAGAATGAGTTATTTATTGTAGTCTTCTTTTTTTTTTAATTGGATATTTCTGCTTAGATATTCTTTTGTAATTTACGTGTTGGGTTTTTTTTTTTTTTTTTTTTTTTTTGCTAGGTCATGACTTCCTTTTCAGCACCAGCTCACACCTCAAGCCCTGGTTTGCCTCTTCTTTGGTAAACAATTGGATCACTGCTTGTTCTGAATGGATGAGATCCCAAAGGGTATATCCTAGTGGTGTGGGAAGGCTGACTAGAGTTTCATGCCCAGGAGACCTGTGGAATATACCTCTTATGGCATAATGCTGATGAAGAGCCACTCTGATTTTGTGTCTCCTTTGGCCAAGTTATAGAGCAAAATTTGCAGGCCTGGAATGGTAGTCTCACCTCCCCGCCATTGTCTCTGGGTATCCTCAGGAATAGTTCCCCTTTCAGATATTTGTGATGCTTTCCATGGGTAGAAGCAAGGACAAGTCCTTTGTCAGGGAACCCAAAATAGTGGAGGATCTCACCTATTCCAGCGTAGAAACAATGAGTTGGGAGAAATTTTTAGTTCACTTGGTGTTGGGAAGATTTTGAGAAGAGGCACTGTGGACATGGAAATCTGATTCTCTTACCATCTGTTCAGAGTGTTTTTCTTGTCTCTGTGACTTTGAGAACTACCTCATCCTTATATTTGAATTCTGAGATACTGCTGGTGATAAACTCCATGCAATGTATTCGTTTTTTATTTTCTGTTGGCAGAAGTGAAGTCAGCTTTATTCTACGATGGCATTTGAACACAAGAAAAGCTTGAGACTTTATATTCTTTGTTGAGGCTTTCTATTTTTTTATTTGCTTCAATTGTTCTTATAATTTTTGTTTGAAGTTATTTATGATGGCTACTTTAATATTTGTCAAATAATTGTATCATGTCTGTTATCTTGGTGCCATCATTATGAATTTTTTTTATATATACAAATTTAATAGATCTTGATTCTTGGTATGAGTGATTTTCCATTGAAAATTGGACATTTTAGTATTATTTTAGAGGACTTTGTTTTTGATTTATCACTCATTTTATCTGGTTTTCTCTGACATTGCCCAGGCTAGGGAGGTGTGTTTACTGCCTTGTACTGCAGGTGGGGATACACATCCTGGCTTCTCACTTGGCTTTTTGAAAACTGAACATGGAAAGTTCTTATTTCAACTGGGCAGAAGTGAAAGTGCCATCTCCCTACAAGGTCTCCAGTGATACCATGATGGTGGTGACCTTATTATTACTAGACAATAATGAAAGTTCCAGCATCTCACTTGGCATTCCCTAACACCATTCTGATGGGAGTATTGGGGACCCACTTTGCAGCTTCTTGAGGATGAAAATCTGGGCTTTTCATTCATCTTTGATGGTTTTGATGGTGTTTATGGGTATGGGACCACAGATGTGTGTGTGTGTGTGTGTGTGTGTGTCTGTGTGTGTGTGTGTGTGTGTGTGTGTCTGGAATAGAAGACGTTCTGTCAAAATTTGTCTGTGTTTCTAGGCTGGCCCTTTTTGGGTCATTTGTTCAGAAAGAACGGGCTTTTGTTGGTTTTATTTTTTTGCCTCTGACTGTTGTTGTTTCTGAGTTGTTGACTTATTGAGCTCCAAGTCAGGGACATTTGCTGCAAAGTAAAATTTGGAAAGTCGAACCACCTTATGTCAAGGGTCACAAAGTCCCCAGTAGGTCTACTTTTTTCTCTTCACATTTAAGAGTATTTTTAAAAATATTTGTTTTATATATAATGTTCATGTTTTTTAGTTGTACTTAGCAGGATAAATATAAATATATACTCTATCTTTCTAGAAACAGAAGTCTGCCCTAATATTTTTATTTTTAAAAAATGTTGGGGCCAAAGATAAAATTATGGAATCAGATATTTGTGTACACAAGAATAAAATATTCTTAAAAGCAATCTCTCAGTCTCTCTCTTTCAGTTTGTCTGTCTCTGTGTCCACATCTATGATTGTGCCATCTAAGCTACTGATCTATCATTTGTCATTCTTTATTCATATCTATTTTTATTCACAGCAATATTCCTATCTACATCCACATCTCTGTTTTTACTCCTACCCATACCTTATCATTAACATTTATAGGAAATACTTTTTATTCCCTATATACATAGGACAAATGAGACTTCTAATTCTAATTGATTTTATATGTATATTCTTTAATTCATCTCTGCTTTGTATATGAAACTAATGGAAAAGCAGTTCATTTTGGAACATAAAATGCACTCAAGGTTATATATAAATTTGAATTTATCACTTATTTACATATTTAACAACTATTTATTAACATTCTTTTGAACAAGATACTGGTATGAACTGGATGTCAGTGGTATATAAGACAGATACAATATCATTTCCATGGAATGCATATTTCATATCCTTTTTCTATATACATGGAAATACTTTCCTGCATAAGTGTACACACATTCACATATACACACTGACACAGTTAAGGTGTAAATGAATGTTCAAATAGTAGAATATGTTATTTGCCAAGATATGAAAGTGTCTAAGTTAAAAGTGCAATTTTCACTGGTTGATGAATGAGCTAATGAATACTCAAAACTTCATCGTCCCTTCTGGAGTATGGCTTATTTTCTGACTCAAGATCCCTCCTACCTACTTTGGTCTGGTTTCAGAAATACGGCATATTCCAAAGTATCTTTAAATTTTCAGAGATAGTAGAAATACAATTTGAAGCTGTATTACCTTTCTAATTGATATGAAAATGCTATCCCATTCCTTTTTTCTCTCTTCCTCTCCCTCTCTCCCCACCCCAGGGATACAGGAATATAAAATAAAAAGGGTTAAAGATAATTTTTCATTAGTAGTATATGTTCTTTATTTTATTCTGTAGTAGTCTTTTGATTTTCTCACATAACAAAATTTCAAAATATATTTTATGGTCTGAAGACTTCTTTAATTCAAAACTGAGCCATATAGAAAATATGCTTCTCAAGGACAGGCTATCTTTTATTTGCTCTTTTATCACCAGTTTCTATGACTGTGACTCATGCTCATTTTTTTCAACAAAGTATTACTAGACAACCATTATGCATTAAACTCTATTTACTATTGTCAATATAGTGGTGACAATATAGATGGTGTCTCTCTCTTCATTTTGCTAATCCAAGAATGAAGAAGCAGGGTATTAAATAAGTTAAAAAATAAATAGTAATTAATTACAAATATGTCAATGGCTTCATAGGAAAGAAAAGGGATGACACAGAGAGAGATTTGAAAATCCAATTGGGTTATTAAGTGAGGATCTTACTGGTGAGACAAAGGTTGAGTCAAGAACTGAATGGCAGGAAGGAGCCAACATGGATCTGGGGGCAGAGTGTTCTCACCACACAAACATCAAAGGCAGAGGTGAAAGCATGGTAACTGAGGACCAAGTGGGAAAACAGAAGGACAGAAAGGAAAATATTGTAGAGAGGGTAGACAATAGAGCCCTGGAGTGTGCCAATATCTCCATTAAATTGATCATGCACACAATAACTTCTCAACAAACCTTTAAGAATTAACACTTTTACTCAAGAGGTATTTAGAAAAACTTGACTTACTTTTTAATCACTGTTTGTATATGCAGTGATAAACTAAAATATCATAAGCAATAATTCAACCCTTGATTGTGTATGTATAACATCAAATTTAAATATTCCATCTTTTCAAACTGTTTAAAGTCCTCCAATTATATTAATAATTTTTTTCAAAATGAATAATGAGTGAATCCATTATGTGCCATCATATAGTTGGGAGACAGTAAATTAATAGCTATCTGTCTGACTCCAACTTTATTCATTCAGTCCTTCATATATTGATTCATTTATTGAATCTTTTATTAACTGTAGAATGAGGCAGGTGCCAAGCAATTCTGTATGTATTTTCTCAATTTTCTCAAACTGTCTTTATCTGCAGATGGAAACAAATTGCTCTCAAATGTCTCTCTAACTTTCATTTACATGAGATGAGTGCTGTGAGAATATTCTGCATTAGGCTTTGACAGGCTTTAGTACTGCATTGATGTCAATATTGCTAATGTGTACTTCATAGTCCTTTTCTTCGTTTTCTTAAAAGTTTTGTATAAACATAAATGATTTCTTGAGTCTATGTGGGAATGGCTCTAGTGGAAGACAGTTATCAATGCATGGTATAATAACCTTTATTATGTTGCTTAGTGATCCTTTCCTTTGGTTGACTGGTGAGGATAAGGGTAGGCTGCATTCATATCTTTTTGGCCTGCTATGCCTCTCTAGCACAGAGGAGTTAGGAAGGGAGAGATCCCTGACAATGGTCATGAATGGTCTTGGAATTCCAACATGAAGGAGGTAGAGAAAGGCCACTACTTGTTGAAATCTATCTTAGACACACACATACACACAAACACACACACACATAGTGCCAAGAATCTTTGTAAAACATTAATATGCAACTAAACTTTTACATTCGTAGTTCTTTACCTCCACTGTGACCTGAAACTACCAACTTCTCTCCCTCCTTGGCTTCAGAGCTATGCTTTTTCACCGCTTTGATCCACTCCAGCTGCACTTTTAATGCCTGTGGCTCCACAGTGGGTGGATTGGAAGCTTCATAAACCCCTTGTGATCTTGTGATTTTTTTAATCCAAAGATGATGGTTGTGTCTCTGAATTAGTAACATACTTACTGGCACTCTCTCAAGTTTCTTAAATGGCTGCTGGTAATTCTCACAATTGTAAATTGTCTGGTGCAGAATTTGGTGGTTAATAGCTATACTTTGACTGCTTTCTAATTCCCCTTTGTTTAAAAAAATTAGTTTCCTATATTGCAATGACGATGGGACAAAGACTAAAGGTAAGAAGTTTAATATATATTGCATAAGGCTTGGAGGTACATAGGTCCTTAAAGCTATTGAAACTTAAAGTGTTTTAATTCCTTATGAGTACATTGGAGTCACTTATTGATGGAAGTTGATGGTTACAGCTGTGCCCGTTCAGTTTCACAATTTCTTGTGTATGGACTGTCACCTAGCTAATTTCTTATTCTAGACTATACATGATACTAAAAAGAAATCATTTAGAAACAAAATGACAAGAACTTCTCTATTATTTGTAATGCTGTGCTAAATCAAGAACAAAAGCATGTACTCTTCATTTTGTTTCTTGTTTGCATTAGTGCTTTGATTTTCTTCAAAATAACTCTTGAAGTTTTATGTCACTATCTTCGTATATGGCATGACAATTTATGGAAACTAATTTAAATAAATAAATGACATGTCTTTACACCATGAATGTAGTTTATAAATAATTACTTGTAGGCTTACAAAGTAACACTACAAATTTCCATATTTTCATTGCCAGGAATTTTTATTCCTTTAGGATCTCTTTTATTTTCCTATGTGAAAGCACTGCTAATACATCAGTGATTTTAAATATTCCAGGCCCTTAAGAAGAATAAGGAAAAAAAATTCATTTTAAATAGAAGTGATCTAAATGAAGATTCTCAGGAAAAACAGTGTCTACGAATATTCTCTGATGATCTGTAATCCAGGAAAATCTCAATATTCTACTTTGCCATTCCTTTCAATATGAACTTGCAATGTGTCTGGAAACTCCCCATTTAAAGCATTCTTAATCTGGAACTTTGAAGATGTCAGTGAGCTGCAGTGTTCCTGTGCATTTTTACTCGAAATGTTTCACAGGAAGTAAGGCATCATGAAGCGAGGTCTGATGATGGCACATACTTGAGAAAGGGAGTAATATGTCTAATCACAATGCTCCATAACAAATATGAGGGATGAAAATCAAGGAAGAGTTGACACGGAGAATTAATATTAAAAACATTATTATTTTCAACCCAAAACAAATTATAATTCTACCTATAGTAATAACTGAACTTCTTTATAGAAGCAAAGAAAAGCAAAAACTTAGAAAAGAGTTTTGTGCACTCCATTCTCATTTACAGATTCTACAGACAGCTGAGGAGTCCTGTCATTCATGTTAAAAAGTGTCTATGTGCCTGGTATAAGAATGGGGGGATTTTGATGATTGCTGGTTGCCATGCTTGACTTATTTTTTCAGGGAGGAAAAAAAATCAGCGGCTTCAGAAAGAGGTGACAGGGTTTTGTTCTTCCGTTGAAATGAGGCTAATAGAGTCAAAAAATAACCAGAAAATAAAAGGGTCAGGACTTTTTTGAATTCCCAAGGCAAGAAAATTTTTGCTATTCTTGGTTGAAACACCCCAAAAGAAAGATAGAGTACAAAATTTTAAAGGAACATTATTTTTCCAGTATTATTTATGCATCATTAGTCTATTTTAAAACTTAATGAAGATAATCCATATATACTAACTCAAGGCAACCATACAGAGTAGTTTTAAAATATATATTTTATTCTTACAGTGTTCTTGTCCAGCCAATACCAGAACTTGAAACAAGCACAAAAAGTACTTCTTAGCAGTATTAGAGGGTTATAGAGGGAGATTAAGGATGATTTCAGTAAAAAAATCACTGTGCCAACAATAGGCATTTATTGCATTTCGCAAGGAATCATCTATATATTTGGGATCCTTATCCAAATCTCATAAAATTATACCTTGACTTCTGAAATTTAGAGAGAGGGGCAACACCAAGAGAAGCTTATATAAAAATGGAGATTGCCTTTAATTGTACCCTGAGTATCACAATAAAAAGATTTAATTCTAATTTAAAACTATGAAAACAAGTAAAAATATTGTAATTTCTCCCTTGCCTTCAATAAGTAATAAATATTATTTTGCACTTAGTTTCTCATTTTAACTTTTCTCACAATAAATAGCACTTACCTCTTTATCAAAAGAAATCATTGTATGAATTACGACTGAGCACTAATAAAAAAATTGCTTCATAAAATATAGGTTCTACATCTTCTATAAGGATAGAGAAGTGAACCTTGTAGCTGTGGATGAGCTACAAGATTATAAATGCAATTTAAATTGCAAATGTAAACTATCAGAAGAAAACACTTGTAAGTTTTCAACCAGGCATCCACTGATTTTTAACCGAATCAATAAATTCTAGCAGGACAATGAATTTGCACCACTCAATCAAAACAAATAAGGACTATCTTCTTCTTATCATAAAAGCAATAAAAACCGCTTGCACAGCATTCTTCCCTTAATTTGTCTTTCACTCTGCACGATAAAGATAACTAAGTGCTCCATTTCGGAAGAACATATTGTTTCACTATGTATATTTTTCATCACTGAAGTCTAGAGAGTATTGTTTTTTAATTTGTTGATTGAGTCCATCAATTCGAATTAGTCTAAATGTTGTGGGAGGATAATGACAATGGATATGAAGAAGAAGAGAAATGCGTAGCATGAATTAATGTTGCTTTTATGGTACTTCTCGTTGGATTCACAGCTGAGTTTATCTGATGAGTAAATAATTTGTGGATATGTCAGAGTTGAGGAAGGAGAATGTGGTTAAAGTCATCTGATTAGAAACATTCATATAAAGAAAGATGGAATCAACCTCTGTGTTTAATGGTTATTAAAAATTCTCATATATGAATGTTATTTTTAAATAGCCATATTATCTTTAGATAATATGCTGAGCGTCAGTTGAGCAAAGCTTTAATTATTGTCTTCCACTAACAAACTACATAATGTGGAGACATTCACTGAGGTGAAATTTATGAATCTTTATGTTATCTACTGTGAGAAAAAAATTTGTATTTTCATCCATCTTTAAGGCTCTGGGATTCTAGATATTCTAATAGATGGTTTATGTAACCAAAGGTGACCAAAGTTCATTACATGCAAGTCCTGATTACAAGTGTTGACCTCCCTGTCTATTGTCATGGAGATGTGCTGATTTAAAAGTAGAAATGATTCCAATGTGGTTCTCTAAACTGGAGAGTTTAGAGAGGTGCCTATGATAGAGTTTGGAGTGAAACTTATCACGACCAAATTTAAAATATTTTCCCATTGCCCTATACTCTGAAAACTTATCAATACTAATGAACATTATCAAATAATTCTTTCATACATTACATAATTGATGTGTAAGTTTGGAGCAGTCTAGAATATCTTGGGTATTTTGTCTCTGAAACAAGAGTTATATTAAAAAAAAGAGTATAATTGGTTATAATTGGTGAGCAAATAACAAACTCTGATTTTGGAAAAGTAAGGAAAGATGAAAAAAAAAAACAACACAACTTTAAATGCTTGGTAAACCCATATAAGGTCCAAACTAAGATCAAATATCTGTCTGTGTAGATCTTTTCAACATGGCCAACAAATGAATATAAACAAAATGAATATAAACAAAATCTTGACCAAATTTGAAAAAGTAATCATTGTGTGCAAACAATGCTATTCTTCATTCATTGTCTTAGCAGAGACCTTTTCTGGACCACAGAGAGTTCTTAATTTAGAGCACAGAGAAAATTGTTCATAAATATAAATGAAATATATAGTTGAATTTAGCAAACAAATTAGACCATCATTCTGCATTTTTACATATTATTTTAGTAATCTGTGGATTGCACCATTATTTCAGAAAAGAATAGTAAGTTTTGCATATTTTAAAATTATCAAAAGAATAAAAATGTCTATTTCAACCCAGTATAGCAGTATAATTAAGTCAGTCAGATTGAATTAAAAGAGCTATATTAACATAAAGCTTTTCCTGCCATCCTCTGTAAGTCTGAGATTTTTAATTAATGTTTAAAGTGTGGTTTGCTTGTAGTTGATATTTTATTTACAGCTATAAACAAAATACGTTATATTCTGGTAATTTGAATATTTTCCCCATGAAAGATTCTTTTGGCCTTAAAATGGTAGAAAATGAATACAAATATAATTTAGCTCTTTTGTAATTAAAATAAATGTTTCCCTTTCTTGTTACTTTACTTTTAAGTAAATAAAAACTTAATATACCATAAACTCAAAGAACTGGGGTATTAATTGTCTTTAAAATAAAGTTCAGAAATTATGAAGTCTGAAATAAATGGTTTCCAATTTCCCAAGCATCCCATTTGATACTTGAGAGCCATTCGATATCATAGTCATAATAAATTATGAATAAAATCATGGACCCTCTGGGAATTATAAATTTATCAGTATACATATAATGTACTATATGGGCCTTGTTTCTTTGGTAAAAGACCTATAGCTATTTAGAGGTTTATTGTAAATCTTCATTGTAAGTGAATTATTATATTGAATACTATATCCACATTTGGTTCACATAATGTAAAGGAACATATAGTTTATCTTACCATATCATGATTTTATATGAATATGCTTAATTTCTTATATATATATAGGTATAAAGAATGCCTTTGAAGAAAACAAATATATCTTTTTTTTTTTTTTTTGAGACAGAGTCTTGTTCTGTCACCCAGAATGGAGTGCACTTGGCTCACTGCAACATCCGCCTCCTAGGTTCAAGCAATTCTCCTGCCTCAGCCTCTCAAGTAGCTGGGATTACAGGTGTCTGCCACCACATCCGGCTAATTTGTGTGTGTGTGTGTGTGTGTGTGTGTGTATGTATTTTTAGTAGAGATGGGGTTTTACCATGTTGGCCAAGCTGGTCTTGAACTCCTAACCTCAAGTGATCCGCCTGCTTTGGCCTCCTAAAGTGCTAGGATTACGGGCGTCAGACACTGCTCCCAGCCAACAAATATATCTTAAATTGGAAAAAAAAAAAAAAGCTACAGAAATGTCAAAAGCCTCAAATCAAACTGAAAATTAGCATATGAATATTTTATTTATTTGTTGTGCTATTGGAATCTGTGAGATGTAAAAAACAACAAAAAAAAAAACAAACAAAAAAAACTGAAAATCTTACAGTCTTCATTATTATGACCTAATAGACTTTTGAACAGACCACACAACCTGTATGTTTATATTAAAGGCTCACATAGAACTTATTTGTATATATGGGTGCTTTATCTATTTTTTAATTTTTAAAAATTTTTATAGATTTAGGGACTACAAGTGAACTTTTGTTGCATGGACATATTAGAGGAAGTCTGGGCTGTCAGTGTAGCCATTACCTGAATAGTGTACATTGTACCCATTATGTAATTTTTCATCCTTGGCTCCCTCCTACCCTCCCACTCTTCTGAGTCTCCAGTGTCTATTATCCCTCTCTCTATGTCCACGTGTATACTTATTTTGCTTCCACTTACATGTGAGAACATGAGGTATTTGACTTTATGCTTCTGAGTTATTTCTCTTAAGATAGTGACCTCCAGTTCCATCCATGTGGCTGCAAAACACATGCTTTTACTCTTTTTAGATCTGATCAGTATTCTATTTGTGTGTGTGTGTGTTTGTACACCACATTTTCTGTATCCAATTATTCATTGATGTACACTTATGTTAATTCCATATATTGGCTATTGTGAATAGTGCTGTGATAAACATATGAATGAGGCACCTTTTTGATATACTGATTTATTATCTTTTGGGGAGTTACCCAGTAGTGGGATTGCTGGATCAAATAGTAGATTTATTTTTTGTTCTCTGAGAAACATCCATACTGTTTTCCATAGAGGTTGTGCTAATTTACATTCTCATCAACAGTGTGTAAGCACTTCCTTTGCTCCATACCCTGGCCAACATCTGTCATTTTTTTGACATTTTAAATAACACCCATTCTGACTAGTGTAATATGGTATCTCATTATGATTCTAATTTGCATTTCTCTGTTGATTGGTGATGTCTCACATTTTTTTCATATGCTTGTCGGTCATTTGTATGTCTTCTTTTGCAAAATGTTTGTTCATGTCCTCTGCTTACTTTTTAATGGGCTTATTTTGTTTGTTTTTTGTTGTTATTGAGCTGTTTGAAATTTTTGCCAATCTCAAATTGTCAGAAACATGAATGTCATATAGAGATCCAATGGAATCCCTACTGCTGAATAGGCACAGCTGCCTATATTTTAAGAAACTTAAATTTTAACGAAGTGTTAACACAACAATTTCTATGCCAGGTACAGATGGAATATGTATCTTTTTCAATAATTTTAATATTTTGACCCTATTGAAAGGTAAGTGTATTTAAAAATTAAATACCTTCTAAGATAATATGTAAAACTCTCACCAAAGTTAGAATACAACTAAAGTTGTTGCCTTTGAAATTAAGAAAATATTTTTACATTTGAAAATGAGTTTTGATTATTCACAAATTTTAAAATTAGAAATGTTTAATGAATCACCTTGGTCATACATGGTCGCACGTGCCTATAATCCCAGTACTCTGGAAGGCAGGCAAATCACTTGAGGTCAGGAGTTTGAGACCAGCCTGACCAACATGGTAAAACACCATCTCTACTAAAAACACACACACACAAAAAAAAGTTAACTCAGCATGGTGTCACGCTCCTGTAGTCCCAGCTACTCAGGAGGCTGATGAGGAGAATTGCTTGAACTCAGGAGGCAGAAGCTTCAGTGAGCCAAGATCGTGCCATGCACTCCTGCCTGGGTGACAGAGCAAGACTCTGTCTCAAAAATAAATAAATAAATAAATAAATAAATAAATCAATAAATAAATAAATAAAATAACTTATTATCTACTACCTAGGACTTGCATTTTTTATTTTTTAACTCTTTTACTTATGACGTTACAGTTGAATAAAATGCTTCCAAACAACAACAAAATATTGGTTACCTGTAGATTGAATTATTTGTATAATCTTCTCAAATAAATTTTGAATAATGGTCTTTTAAAACTTTCTATGATGAAAAACCTATTCCAAGTATAATGGTATACTTTAAAAGTGCAATTCACTAGAAGTTATTTAATCTTTCTTTGATTGCTGAGAATTTCAAGATACTGAAGAGTCATGATTGTGAATTGTAGAGTAACATAACTGAAGATGTAGGAGGAAATAGACCTGTACATAGACTGCCAAATTTATTTAACTCAACACTTTTTATATTACATATAGTTCTCTTCATGATTCCACAAACATGTCTTGATTAATTCTACTTCAACTAATTCCCCGAAAGTGACACAGGATCTCACTTCCTCATCACCCATTCAGATCCTACATATTCTTTTTCAATTATTTCACGTATCTTCTCCTCAGAAAAAGTTCTCTCCATGACCATACCAGTCAACACTTCTTAGAAACTCTGTATTTTTAGGCACTTCTTTGAAACCTTGTATTTTTCCTTCAAAAATGTGCTCCAATCTCTGCATAATTTATAATCTAATTTACAAAATAAAATTTTTAAGCTAACAGAATCTATTTAAAATAAATGGAAGAGGTATTGACTCATGTATACTTGTGATAGGGTGATAACATACCCTATGAGTATGACAGGAGTCTCCCAGACTAATAGAGACATGGTGAGAAAATAAATGAATCTTCCCTTATTTAATTTTATAAGTAGAATTGATTACTCACATTTATCTGCAATAAATTTTTTACATTTTATATTTAAATTAATACTAAATCCATTGAATTTTAAATGAATGACATTAAATAATCTACTGGCAATATATTCAAGATTATTTTATAAAGCAACTAAGAATATTGTTAAAGTGGAAAGGTTTTAGGTTTCATTGTTTTTTCTTTCTTTTAGTTAGTCAACCTTCTATAAGTATGTTGTATGGAATATTAAATATTATTGAAGCAGTTCTTCAGTAGATGATGTAGTATGCTTCAGGTACGGTTATTCTGTATACTGTTTTTTAAAAATTTTATACAGACTTAATTTACTCCTAGGCCTATTGAAGTAGAATTCAAGCTTATTAGTTATCATTTAAACTTGAATGCCTCTCCTATAGTTTTCTGGGTCTAAATATTTTATTTATAAATAAATGCATATATGTATATATATATGATAGAATTGATTAATATATTATATACTAAAATATGTTTATATTAACAAACTATACATTGATGGTAACTGTCAAACGCAGGAGAGGAGAACTTTAAATATGTTGGTCAGTGGAAGACCTTATACAAAGGCAGCACTTGAGTTGCATCCACAAGATAGTATTAGGTTAGGGGAAACATAATTGCAGTTTTTGCATTGTTGAAATTTGCCATTTGATATTGGAATACTTTCTTTTAAAAATGTGGTTATGTTATACATTATTTTAAGGTGCATTTCTTGCTTTTTTTGTTAATTACTTATTACTTGCTGTTTATTTTATATTTGTTTTAGACTATGGAAATCATGTTAGACAAAAAGCAAACTTGAGTGATTTTCTTATTTGAGTTCAATGTGAATCGTAAAGCAGAGGAGATAACTTGCAACATCAACAACGCATCTGGCCCAGGAACTACTAATGAACATACAGTGCAGTGATGATTCAAGAAGTTTTGCAAAGGAGACAAGAGCCTTGAGGATGAGGAGTGTAGTGGCCAGTTATCAGAAGTTGACAATGACCAGTTGTGAGCAATCATTAAAGCGAATCCTCTTACAAGTACAGAAGAAGTTGCTGAAGAACTCAATGTCAACCATTCTACAGTCGTTTAGCATTTGAAGCAAATTGAAAAGGTGAAAAAGCTTGATAAGTGGGTGCCTCATGAGCTGAGTGAAAAAACAAATCGTCATTTTGAAGCGTCATCTTCTCTTATTCTACGGAACAAAAACGAACCATTTCTCGATCGGATTGTGACATGCAACAGAAAGTGGATTTTATACGACAACCAGAGACGACCAGTGGTTGGACCAAGAAGCAGCTCCAAAAGCACTTACAAAAGCCAAGGCACTTACCAAAGCCAAACCAAATAAAGGTCATGGTCACTGTTTGGTGGTCTCCTACTGGTCTGATCCACTAAAGCTTTCTGAATCCCAGCGAAACCATTATATCTGAGAAGTATGCTCAGCAAATCGATGAGATGCACCGAAAACTGCAATGTCTGCAGCTGGCATTGGTCAACAGAAAGGGCCCAATTCTTCTCCATGACAACACTCGAAGGCATGTAGCACAACCAAGCTTTAAAAGTTGAATGAATTGGGCTATGAAATTTTGCCTCATCCGCCATATTCACCTGACTTCTCCCCAACAGATCACCACTTCTTCCACCATCTCAACAACTTTTTGTAGGGAAAACACTTCCACAACCACCAGGATGCAGAAAATGCTTTCTAAGAGTTCATTAAATCACGAGGCATAGATTTTTACGCTACAGGAATAAACAAGCTTATTTCTTGTGGCAAAAACATGTTGATTGTAATGGTTCCACAATTACTTTTGCATCAACCTAATAAGAAAGCAAATCAAGTGTAGGTCTAGGGAAAAGCAGAGGGAATAGCCAGTGCATGGGCTTAGAGGCCTGAAAGGCGCTGGCATGGTTAAAGAATACAAAAGAGCTTCTGAAACCTCTGAGCCACAGACTGAGGAAGAGATGAGTTTGGGAAGATTGTCAGACCTCTGGCCACAGAGGACTTTGTAGATCACAGTAAGGAGTCTGAATTTCTCTTCAAGGCATAATGGGAAGAAATAAGAGGTTTTAATCAATTTTTCTATGGGTGGGCAGGGTGGGTGGTCACTAGTTGTTGCAGTTACATTTTCAAAAGATGTATTGGATAGATGGACTACAGTGAAGCTAAAGATGAAAGAGCTATTAAACTTAGAAATAGTAGAGTAATATCTTAAGACAGTCAATATTTTGTTTAAATGCTATAATAGCATCAAATGTTTTATGGTACTATGTATGAGATCCTATTGTCAATAATTCCCAGGTATTAACTCATTTAGTTTTTACCACAGTATGTCAGGCGGGTAATATAATCATCCACAATTTACAGATAAAAAAATTAAGCACAGAGAGGTTAAGAAAGTTGTCTAAGAATGTAGTATAGCCATGAATTGAACATATAATATTTAACTTCCTAATTGTAATTTTCTAAAATTATTATAGAATTATTTTCTTTCTATGCATGTTAGATTCTAAGCTATTAGTAGTAAAGACTCGCTTTCCATTCTTTCCACACACACTATCAGAACTCTGCTATATTGAAGGTACTAGACTAGCTAGACTACATGAAGAGCAAGGACTTTGACATTTTCTTTACTCACATACAGCACCAAAATTTGAGAACCAAAATAAAGAGCTCATTAAATGTTATTAATTGACTGGTTCAGTATGCAGTAATCCAATATATCTCGGAAGTGCCTTGTAGATATATAGATAATTCAAAATATAATTTAGATATTTATTTTTCAATTAATTTTTCTCTCAATATTAAATGAGAAAGTTAAAGACATTTGAATTTAGAGTATTATTTTCCTTATAGGTGATTCCTCCAGCTAAGAATATACAAATTTTACAGATGAGAAAACTGGAAAACAGTGACTAAGGGACCAGCCTAAATTTTTGTAGGCACAACAACACAGTCAAAAGCAACAGATTAAAAGTGTGAATGGACTATGGAGAAAAAGAAACTTTTATGCGCATGGGCACGTGAATTTGTACAATCACTTAGAAGAGAAATGTGGAAATTATTGTTAAGTTGAAAATATTATAGTTAACAAGCAATTCTGCCCACATATATTAAAAATATATGTGTGTACGTATGTGTGTGTGTTTATATATACACATATATGTTTTTATTATACATACATAATAAATTATATATTCCCTAGAGAAATTTTTGACCATGAAGAAAGGATATTCACTGAAGAATTGGTGACAATATAAAAAATTAGAAACAATGTAAAGGTCCACCAATATAGGAACGGATACAAAGTTGTGATTAATTTAAACAACGGAATAATTTAGAGCTGTTGAAGTGGAAGAAACTTGACCAACTATCTATCAACATGGATAAATCTGGAAAGAATAATGTTGCATAAAATAAGATTGTTACAAAAGATATATAAATTAAAATAAACTTTATTTAGTATCAAAATACCCCAAATAATAAAATATGAGATTAAGTAAATAATTTAAAAGGAACAGAAAGTATAGACATCAGCTTTAAGATAATGATGACTTCTGAGACGTTAGAAGTGGATAAGAGATTTAAATACATCTGTATGATTTTCTTTCTTTACCAAAAATACAATATCTATACAATATCTACAGCAAGTATGAGAAAAATACTAACATGTCTAAATGGGTGTATTTATAGGCCTCAACTTGTTTTACTGCAGTTTGAAATGTATCACAAATAAAAATCCTTTCACCATTTTCAAATTAACTGAAAATGTCAATTCAATGATTCAATAAATATATTTGAAGGGGTACAAGCAGTCTTAATACTAAAGTCTGTCTTTGATTTTTATAAAATGTAGTTTTTCTTTTTCAAAAGTAATGCACAATTGCTGTTTTATATGTGGATTTATAGATAGCCTCTGATTCAGAAATTTATACTAGAAAGCATGTCACTACTCTAAGTCACAGACAATTTATAAAGAATGTCAGAGACTTTTTAAGGAGAACATTATTATGAAGAGAGTTATGCACATAGTATTTAACCAGTCCTAAAAGTCCATGATGCCATAATTACCAACACATATAACATTTCCAGATCGTGTCAAAATCCTGTTCAAAATAGGATGCCATTTTCATTGACAAATACCAATTTCAGAGAAGCAGAATTCTCTTCATTTTACTTTTCTTCTGCCTCTGAACTATTTCACTCTAATCAGTGCTAACTTCAACCAGAGAGCTTTTGCCCCTGTTTCATTTTATTTCCTTCCAAAAGAGGATAAATAGGATACTCAAACATAATAATACTATAACGTCATCATGATAAATGCGTATAAAGCAATTAAGTGAAGTATATTCATTTTCTTATAGCAATCCAACAACTTCCCTATAAAGCAAAGAGGCATTTTTAGCACTGATACAGATAAAGAATCTAAGGCTTAGAGAAATTAAGTAATTTGACCACATTCATATATCTAGGAAGCAACAGTATGCTTCCCAATCTAAATCCATCAGATTTCATAGTTCCCAAACTAAGCAACTACACCAGACTGCTTCACAAGCAGAAAGCTCCAGGCATTGTTTGGTCCACTTAAACGTATATGGTTAATACATCCTCAGAGTATACTCTTTGGTTCTTTGTGTCCAGTGAAACTCAAATCCTGTTCATGTCTATTAACTTAGTAACCCATTCAAAGAGAGTGGCTAAAGCAATTTAAATTTTTCTCAAAAATCAGATTACCACAGAAGAAAACTCAATTTTGAGAGAAAATGAAAACTGAGTAGTATATTTGAACATTCGGATTTAATTAATATTCACAGACTATCCATTTCAACATGGGGAGCCAAATGGAATATAGAATTACACAATATAATTGACATTTAAAAATATGTTTTCTGGTTATATCTGAATAGTTGCAAGATTTAAAAGTGTCTATAATCCTTATAGTAAAACTCGTTTTTAAAATTCAACTACTTACATTGCATCATATTAGAGACACTTTAGGGAAGATTAAAGAAAATAAATGAAAGTTAAAAGTTTATACAAAAATAAGTATTTATAAAAATTATGAAGTGATGATATAGAAATATATATGCACATATATATTTCAGAAGTTGTAACATTCTGATATTGCTTATTTTCATTACTTATAAACCTCATACTATAAGAATAGGGTATTAACAGATTATTTGTAATTATTTTACTTTTTCATGTATAAATACAAATACTTCTATATTATAATTAACTTGCCATTTATGGTTATATATACTATAATAAATAAAATAGCACATTTAAAGTGAAGCTAGTACATATGTACCTGAAATGTGTCATATTTAGATTCTTACAAAATAATTAAATTCTTTAGAAAATAATGTGGTTTATAGTTACATAGAATAATAATCTGAAGATAATTTTACATTTGTAATATTATTAAAATGTAGTACAATAAATGTATGCTACTTCCTTGTAGTCAATCTAATCTGTGTGTTTTGCTTTATGTTTATTTTTAGACTCTTTTTTGCATCAAAAAGAGATTTTTGATGAAACATTAGTTATTTCCTCCTGTCTGGCAGCTCAAGTTACAAGCAGAACGCTTAGATTGGCACACTTCTCTTTCCTTCCCTTGTTCTCATTAGCAGGGAGTCTTAATCTCCTCTTTCTCTGCCTTTCTGAGTAATCACAGTATATCACTATCCCAGTGGGATCTAAACAAAGATTGAGTAGAAAATTAGTATCACAACCAAGTAGGTTTAAGGTCAAAATAATGAAAAATCAATATAACATACAAAGAGGCATTTTAAAATTGGTTTGATGCTTGTGTGTGGTGTTTGTGTTACAATTTCCATGATTCCACTACTTTTTGATTTAAATCTTTGACAATATGGTCAATTTTTTTCTCTCCATAAAACATACCAAATCTAGCTCTCTAGGCCCCCTAAAATTGATTGGTCTTCATGAACCTGGTCAGTACTATTCTTCATGATCACATGGAGTCCTCCTGCATTTATAAATCAATCTATTTGCATACAAAGAACTGTAGTAAGTTATGTAATTGCTTCTACATTTTTGCCTTTATTCAGAGACATGGGTAAAATAATAATGCAGGAAAGGTGATGAGTTTTCTTTACTACAGTTAGGTTGACATTGAAGGTCTTGGGACATTTTCCTACAGCCATGTAATTGAAAGGATGAAATGCCTGAACAACATCCTGACCTTCTGTCAGAGCAGGTATTGATGATATTGTACCGGAGATGCTCAGCTGGGTGCCAGAGAAGTTGAAGACAAGGTTAAAGATAGCAAGTAACACAGCATTGTTCAAGTGTTTCACAGATTGGCCATCCAGGAAGACAACAAGGGTTTTAATACACAATTTGGATAATGCAAAGCCTTCCATGAAAATCAAAATATAAAGTTTTAGTTGTTAAATTAACCAGCCAACTAGCATTTAAGGTTCCACACACTAAGAACATTGCAATAAGAGCCCCCAAATGGGGAGAATAAAAACAAAAGTCCAGACATAATGAGTAAGAGCATTATGGGGCTTACAGAAAAGCATCAAAGAATTTGAAAGAAGAAAAATGAAATTTTGATGATAATTAAGTGTTGGCAGCATGGTTTTCAGTTTCTCGGGATGGACAGTAAAGTCTTAACGGGTCCAACACTTATGAAACATTTGTTAATATTTGAGTGAATATTAGCACTACATCAAGCAGTGAAGTATTTTACCTTCACGATTTTATTTGATTCTTTAAATAATCTTATGATAGAATACTGAATCTCTAATTTAAAAAATGGAAGCACACTCAAAGAAAAAAAAGAGTTAACAAATGGTTGAGTCATGAATCTGTTATCAAAGTAATCAGATTACATTGCCTAAAAGTATACTAGTATCAACATCAAATCTCTCTCAACTTACTATGGCTTGGATAATAAATAACATATAGTCCTTGTAGCATGAGACTATAGTTATTCTTAACAATTCTTTTTGTCAGCTTGATAAAATTCTAGGTTTAAAAAGCTTTCAGTTACTGTGTGTGTGTACTTCTATCTTCTATGCATGTGGGGGTGTGTGTCTGTCTATCTTAATACTTACAACTTGGCTAATTTTACTTTATCTGGAATTGAGAGCCAAAATTCTGTGGACCAAAGTAGGAAAACGTGGCAAATAGACCAGCACTCTGATATATTCATTCATTTCACTCATTCCTTTGCAAAACGTGCTAGTGATGTGAAATGCTGTGGACCATAAAAACGTAGTTTCTCTTGTCATAGATACTATAAAATTTTAATAAAATGAAAACTTAATTCTATCTTTGTCTGCGGTAAATCTCAATAACACACTGACATTATAATACAGTTAAAAGCCTAATTCCTTTGCAACAAGCTCTACTCTGTGTTTAGCATATCTGTCAATTGTATGTGAGGGAATCAAATATGCAGAGATTGTAGGGCTCAGAGAAAAACTATCAATTTTATGGATAGAGAACGAAAACCTGCAACTTACTGCCACGAAGAGTCATGAGAGCTATCTGGGGATTAAACTATTGCACATTATTAAGTACATGTGGGAGAGACCCAGAAAGACAGTACAGTGAAAGATTGAGATCTTTTAACTAAGGCCCTCTTATGTTCTTGTTCCCTGCAGCTATTCCTTTCTATCCTCACCTTCCAACTTTGCACATGATATTTAGTCCCCAATTGTGGCTTGCCACTCACCTGAACAAAATTCAGATTGTTCAATGAATGGTACTTACAAGATAATACCCCTGCTTTCCAAACCAGGGTGAACTTGTCTGGGGGAATAGATGAATTATATTGTAAGTACCATTCATTGAACAATCTGAATTTTGGGTGAACTTTGAACCTTCTGCTAGAACCCTATAAATTATCCTGCCCTCAGGCGCTAAGTTAGAACACTCCTTAGGGGCCTTCTCATCTCAGCATTTTAAAATATTTTGCTTGGTTTTCTTTTATCATAATCATCATGGAGACTCACACATTACCTGAAAAACAAAAATTAAATAATTTACTGAAATGTTACTCCTGACTCTCGTTTATACGTGAGGCTTGGAGTTATTTTCTTGTTACAGCAAGTATTTTAGGGTCGCCTGTCTTATTTTTCCCCACAGTGTTTGGAGAAGTGGCTTTCTAGCAAATGTGGTTCTCCTCCCCAGAGTACACTTGGCAAGGTCTGGAGATGTATTTTGGGGTCATATTTGGGGAGGGGCAGTGCTACTGGCATCTGGGGACAGAGTCCAGGGAAGCTGCTAAATATCTTATAATGCAGAGGACAGCTCCCCACAACCAAGAATCATTCCCCTCAAAATGTCAGGAGTGCTAAGGTTGGGAAACACTGATTTCGAAGACGATGCATTCAGTTACTAGATAAGAATTAAAATTATTAGCAAATACTTAAGACACAAAGATGTAAAACTTTTATTTAAGACGTAAAATATATCTAAATGTGATTTGGTGTTTAAATGTCCTTTCCCAATAATAAACCACAGGAGTTTTTGAAAACATGTATGTTAAAACAGGTGCCTAACATTTAAAGGAATTTTAATATTCTCAGGGTTCTTATATGTTTCTATTCCATTTAGCACATCTCTATAATTAACTCCATTTTTCCAAATATACAATGAGATTGACACTAATAGTATGACTTATTTGCACTGATAAAATGTCTCCTAATTATAAAAGGCCAAAAATAGAACTAAAAATTCCCTTTGCTTAGTTACAGATGTTTTATGTAACAAAACTGATTTTCTAGTTCACATTAAAAATATTTACTTTTCCTTTGGATTGAACATATATATTTGAACATTCAAAATTGTTTGTATTAATGTACATTAGCATTAGATTCTTATGTCACTTATAAAGAATATATGTCCCATTTTCTGGCATCTATATTCATGCTTCTGACTAAAAGCATAACTGGCCATTACATATTTTTAAATTGTCAACTTTGTGAACGTTTGAAAACTAATTTAAAACTAATTTTAAAAAATAGTTTAAAATATAGAAATGATGCAGATCTAAAAGTTGCATATACACAAAAAGGTCAATAATATTTTAAACTAAAATTTTATATTAAAATTTGAGAAAATTATCACTAGTTTAAGAACAGAAAATTTAATCAAAGTTAAGAATGGCAAAGCAAGATGTCTGACAACTAAGAACTCTTCTCCAGAATGTAATCCTGGTTCTAGATTGTTTTTTTTTTTTTTTTTTTTTTTTTTTTAGACAGAGTCTCACTCAGTCGCCCAGGCTGGAGTGCGGTGGCTCGATCTCCTCTCACTGCAAGCTCCGCCTCCTGGGTTCACGCCATTCTCCTGCCTCAGCCTCCCGAGTAGCTGGGACTACAGGCGCCCGCCACCACGCCCAGCTAATTTTTTTTCTTTTTGTATTTTTTTTAAAAGAGACGGGGTTTCACTGTGTTAGCCAGGATGGTCGCGATCTCTGACCTCGTGATCTGCCCTCCTCAGCCTCCCAAAGTGCTGGGATTACAGGCGTGAGCCACCGCGCCCGGCCGGTTCTAGAGTTTAATAAAAATATAGTTACCAGTCATTCATCTCTGTAGCTATGATGTTTTCTACCAACTAACCAATCCAAGAAACAAAAGTTTATCTAATACAAGAAGGCTCTTGTATTAGATACAAGAAGAATGAATTAAAATCCCTTTGATGCAATTAGGAGACAATCCCTCTGATGTAATATATCAAGGATCCCCTCAAAAGATTGTGTGTGTGCGCGTGTGTGTGTGGGCAGGAAGCTACTTCATGTTTTCAAAATGGAGTAAATAAGTGTGTGTGTGTGTGTGTGTGTGTGTGTGTATCTGTTTCCTCCTAATGTCCATTATTATATTTCAGTGACCCTATATTAACCTGCAAAGGAGCAGGGTAGGGAAGTACATGACTCAGAGAAATGAGAGTATGGAAAATTAGATAGACTCAATATCCACATTTAAAATCTGTTCATAGCTCTTAAACTGATTTTCTTTGGTGTGGGATAGATAGATGAGTGACATGCATCCTAGTTTTTCATTGAGTCACATGGTTACACATTTTGTGAAGATGTCATTTTCGACAGGGGTTACCACTTTATGGACAATGTTTACCAAGAACAGGGGAGCAATAGTAGCACATCCATGCTGCAGGGAATAAGAGATGCCTATTATTTGTGGAATATGTGAAAATTTTAAAGCAATAATAAAGCCAACTAAAAGTTGATCTGCTTTTTATTATCATAATACACTGGCAATTCGGAATGTCATTGATAGAATATTTCTCCCATGAGGCCAACTATTCCCCACTGATAGTCATCTTCTTTGCTAAGCCACTGCTCATAGACAACTTCCACATTGGATCAGATACTCTTATGATCCATTGCCTTACAACCCTAACTTTTATCTTACTGGCTCCCACAGTTAAAATAAATAGTTAATTATTTGATTAATTATGACATCTTTTTCTCCTCTAGATTATCTCCAAGAAAGCAAAACATTTTTCATACTCTCCAATATATCTAATGTGCCTCATATTCTGAGACTTACATATGTATTACCTAAATGAATATTAATGAATTGAATGCATGAATGATAAATGGATGAAGAATGGATAAATTAATGAATGAATAAAACATAATGCCTAATTTAAACATTCCTGAAATTTTTCAAGAATTGTGTCTAAATTTTAAAACCCTGAATTTTAACTATCATTTATCTGGGCACCTCTAATGGATTGGATAATTAATTCTCTGCTAAAGCTTTATTTAGCTGAGACACTGTCAAATGAGCATGACTAAGCAACATTCAAAGATTTCAATGGTCTCTACACTCTTCCCTGAAACTGAAGGTGAAATAATCTGACCACTATACTTTTTTCTTCTTTAATTTTTCTACAGAGAACATTAAAATAAAATTGCTTATTAATGTTGCTTGATAAACAATTACAATATCACTTTTTAGAATTTCTAGAATTTCTTTAGCTGAATTCTTATTAAATTTTTAAATGATCCACGACTTGCATAGTGCTACTCTAACTCCAACTGCTTCTTTGCTGAGTTAAAACCAGCTATATTCTCAGCTTATCAGGTATCATGTCCTCAGTCACAAGTCACAGACACCAGTGATATTTAATATGTATTTTTTCATATATGCAAATGTTCCTAGGCATGGGAAGTGAGAAGGTTGATGATACTGTGTATTGCATTTATGTAGAAATGTTATGTCCATCTTTCTGCTTTGGCGTTTTTTTTGTTTGTTCGTTTTTGTTTTTTTTTCGTTTTTTTGTTTTGGCTTTGTTTAGCAGCTGATTGTCTTCATGCTTGCAAAATGGTTGTGGCATATCCCAACATCACCTCACAGCAATCTTCACAAAACATAGCTTTTCAGAAGCCTCAGTACCAACTTTCTTTCAGATCTTATCGACCAAGACCGGTCACACAGCAATCCCTGTCAATCACTGGCAAAGGAGAATGTGGTTATTATGACTAGCCTAGGCTGATCAGGGTCCCTTTAATTAAATTTGAGGTTACCCTTCCCTAAGTAGTCTGGCAAATGAATAAATTTCTGGAAAAATAAAGTATTTCTTTCAGCAATATAGAAAGGTTGAGGGCTCTCCTAAATAGGCAATAAAAATTTCTGCCATACTAAATACCCAGAAAATCTTTCTTATTGAATGCATTATATAAAGAAGCTTAGAGACCATTATTCATACATTACAAATAAATGATATAAATCTTTATTTGCATCTTGGTTTCTTAATTTTAGAATAATGTCCTTATTCCCACTGTTTAGTTGATATTTATTGTGTTTATCATTATCTAAGTTTATCATAAAAACTTTTGAAAATATGAAATGTGAGTGAAAAACAGAAGTAACTTTAAAGACTTTACATAAAAAAGAAAACTATTTGTCATTTTTAAAATGGCCATTGAACCATCTCTTCCTATTTTGCTGGGCTTGAATCTCTTTTATTGTGAAATATTTTAAAAGGTTTTCGGTGCTTTTTCACAATCAGTTTTTCAAAAGATAATGTTTTTTATTTTAGAAATGGATTTTTGGAATGAGGTCACTCTTAATAGAATGATTCACTCTCTGGGCCTTGTTTCACTGCATAATTCAGTCCCTTCATGGTAATGGTCCTTGTACTGAATGGGAGACTTCACATTTCACTAGTGGAGAATTTATTATGCTTTTCTTAAAAGCCCCACTTCCTCTGATGTTTAAAATCATCTTGCTTGAAAAATTAAACTAAAATATATTTTGTGTTTACCAGTTATTGAAATGTTGGATGATGTTTAAAATGTCCACTAATGCATAACAATGTACATTCATATCTGCAGTGATACTTCTCAGAGCAGAGAAATATTATCCAATACAAATCCATTAAACAGGAGGCTTACTGCAAAACATAAAAAGAGGTCTTCTGTGGAAGTGCTAGAAGTACCCAATTTACTAAAATATCCCAGGATAATAACACTATAGCTTTTTAGGGATAGTAATATAATTACCTTCCTTCCTTCCTGGTTCTAATCAATGAAGAATAGGTAGGACGCTGAGTGGGTGAAAGCATTATCTTTAATAATGCAGATTAAAAAATAATAATGTAGATAATAATGTAGATTAAGGGCCGATAATCCTCCAAATTTGTGGACATGAGATGACAATTTATTTCCACAACTGAAACTTCCCATTTGAAAACATCCAAGAACCCACTCAGGGACCATGTACTTAATTTAAAACCAAAGACACTGAAACTGGAGGACCTGGGAAAATAGGCCTTGCCTGGTGTGCTTATTACAAGGAAGCAGATCCCTTCCCTTCCCTGCCCTGCCCTGCCCTGCCCTGCCTTGCCCTGCCCTGCCTTCCCTTCCCCTCCCCTCCCCTCTCCTGTCCTCTCCTTTCTCCTCTTTTCTTTTCTCTTTTCTTATCTTTTTTTTCTTCTCTTCTCTTCTCTTTCCTTTTCTTCTTTTCCCCTGTGAGCTCAGCCAGGAATGGATGCTCTCATGAGGAGAGGGGACACAATCCCACAAAACTCTGTGATTAGTAAGGAACATTGTATAGCTTCAAGGTGCAAGAGAAATGAGATATGCATTTTAGATTTAAATACAATGCAAAACTAGCATTAATTTATTTGAGCGGATTTTGATGCTTTTCTATTTATGATGCCTTTCTGCAAAGTGATTGGGAAGCAGGAAAACAGATACTGTTCTGAGCTGGTATTTTCATTTAGGAAAGCCTAACATTATTTTAGGTCAGTGTAGGATAAGTTCCAATGTGAAATGCATAACAAATATTTTAAATTTAAAAAGTAAAACATTTTATGACTCAGTTTAAAAAAAAAAAACAAAGAATTTGATTGTGATTAACTTTCACTCTTATAGCAACATTTATTTGCTTGGCCAAACTTAAGTTAGGCTCCTGAAACTTCTGTGCCCATCTGTGCACTTCCTTGCAAAATCCAGTTTTAGTAAAGAACCTGCTAAGCCAGTTGAGCAAAAACCTTTCCTGTCTCATTACCTTCCATATATAACAGGTTCCTCATGCTCCACCATCCCCCAGATGATGTCTGATCACTCTATTCTGTCTTCAGTAAGAATTCTGTTAGGTTAGTTTGCCAAAATTCCCTCTCACCCCTGAAGTTTCCTTTTAGCAATATTCCATCCACTGAACCCACCCTGCCCTTTGGCTATACATTTCTGCTTGCCCAGGCTATGTTTGGAATTAAGTCCAATTTCCCTCCTACACTTAAGAACCCTTTACAGGGGTCCCTGTACCTATTGCTATGGTCCTGGATATGGTCTTCCTTACCATACTTTACAAGTATCATTGAATAATTTTTTATTTAATACTGAAGTACAATAATTGAACAATAGAAAATTGGATCCAAAAGAGATTATAAATTAACACATCTGATTCTCTTATTCAAAAATGAGAAAACTTTTTCTTAGGGACTTTAAACGCCTTGCTTAATATTGTGTCAATCAGACAAATGATACCAAAACTCTCTCTCCTGGGCTGGCACCTTATCTACTCTGTATTCCTATTTAGCTTAGCTTTTTAACACTGGAAAAAGTGTACTTGGAAAAAATGATAATTTTTAACAGATACATCTTATGTATTAAAATATAATGCCTTACAATAATGTAAATTGTCAAGGTTGTGTGGCTTTTATGCTTCATGATGATTTATTTATTTTTACAGTGCTCTCTAAAATATTACATAACTAGTGCTTAATTTCCTGCATTTGATTATATATTTTTAAAGTTTCTGATATTTTTCTATGATATATAGTAGAAAATGCTTATATTACTGCTTATATTATTTTTTTCCTAGAACATAATCTCTGACTTCGATCTGGTGTCAGATGAGCATCTTTTTGATATTATTACATCAAGTGATAATAGCAATAATGACAAAGATCTGGAAATGGAAATAACAATCTCCTAATAAATCTGATTGTAGGATAAAGCTGAATTATTGCATTTCAAGAAAATTTATTTGGAGTTAGCTATTCCATGTCAAGTACAGTTAGTTGTGAGGATGCTAAGTTTTAGAGATGCTAGGTATTGGATCACAAAACTAACCTGAACATTTTATTTCTTTATTCATAATCTACATCATATCTCCCCGGGACTTCCAATGAGATAACAAAATTAAGCTACATGTTTATCCCCTATAGTGTCTCATCATAAATTATAAAATGCTCAAAGTAAAATGAAAGCCCACATTAAAAATGACAGGGCTGAATATGCCCTTTTAATATGCAATTTCAGAAAGAGAAGTTGGGAATTAGAGTAAACAAAAGAAACATTCGTTTCCACGTCACCCCTTTTTATTCTTTCTCCTTGTTCGGTGGTCCCACATTCAATCTAAAACCATGTAAATGGTATCACTTTTAATAGAAAATAGAAAGTATGAGCAATTGTACAGATGTACTCTGAGGAGTAAAGCCTAAAGTAAAAGAAGACTTTTTTAGTGCTGTACTTAGAGTGCTCATTAAAGCAAATAAAGCTTGCTTCTATGGATTTGTAACCAATAAAGAAAGACTGTGGCTTGGTGAGAAGAAGTAAACTTGCAATTGTATAAGTCTAGTGTTTCTCATTCAAGAAGCAATCTACCATTAATCCTAAGCCATGTTGGAGAAATAGAGAATGCAGTTGGCTTGAACTTTCAGGCCACTAAACAGCAAAATATTGTTTCTCACAATGGGAATGACTGTAATTTAGAATTTTCATTTTCTCTTGTATAAGCCTCAGTTTCCTAACATTACAAAAATGAGAGTAAACATAATATCTATTGGATAGTACTGTTATGAGGGCTAAGTATACTATAAAGTAGGCACAAAATAATTTTCATCTACATTATCACTTTCATTGTAACCTATTTAAGATATACTAAACCATCTCTATGAAATAAAATGTTTAAACTGAAAGGTAGAACTGTATTTTTATTCTGGGTAAATTATATGCCTTCATCAAACTTTAACCCTGCCTGATTTGGGGAATATTTGGATCTAATATACTAGCTAGGTTATTCCAAACTGTTCTATTTTGCCCATTTGATGTTGCTGCCATGTATGTGTCATCCAAGATACAGAAATATCCAAAAGTACAGGAGTAAAATATCTCATTCTACTGGTATTAATTCATTGCTTAACACATTTTGGGAGTGGCTATAAAATTGGCTACAGATTATTATACCCACATTATTATTTAGTTCATTCAAATTTTTTATCTTTTCCAAAGGAAATAGTAAGATTTTTAAAGTGCTTTGTACAATTATATGTTGAGTTCT
Source organism: Homo sapiens (assembly GCF_000001405.40). Classification (NCBI taxonomy): domain Eukaryota; kingdom Metazoa; phylum Chordata; class Mammalia; order Primates; family Hominidae; genus Homo; species Homo sapiens. The sequence goes on from NC_000004.12 coordinate 130,298,941, forward strand.
TATGTAGTTTTTCATGTCCTATTTTTAATGAAGCTGGGATAATTTTTATAATCTCTGCTTGTTTCTTTCTCTTTACAACTGTTCACAATGGGTGTTTAAAAATTCATTTGATAAAATGGCCAGAGAATAATGTCTCAATAATACATAGTGCATTTTTAAAACCACTTCTTAGAAAAACTAAGACTTCAGGAATGTTATTATAAAGTGATTTAATTTTTGTTTCCCAGGCTTTTCAAACCTAGTTAGTGGGTTTGTGCTCTCTAACAAAAAATTAAGACAATTCCTAGTCACTGTCAAGTGCTAAGTGTTCCTCTTTAGTAACTAATATGTCATTTCCCTCTTTGAATCTGCTAATGAGTAAAAGGGCTTTGGTTAGATTTTTATTTTTTCCATCCTGTTACTTTTATTTCTTCTGGCCTAGCTTGCTTACCAAAATTTCTGACCTTTCTGGGAAGGGTCAGGGCATATGAAGGAGGGCAAAGGATGTTGAAAGTTCCTACTTGATTCATGCAGTCTAAGTGAGTCTAAGCAGTTTGGTCCTAGAGAGTTGCCTTCTCTCCTCATTTGCTTTTGTGGGATCTTTGCAGAATTGCTCTTATCTTTGGAACTTTCAACTGCATTTCCTTTGATGCCAGGGCTGCACTCTCCCTGAGTAGTTGCTGTGGCCTTTATTAGCCCTTAATCATCCATCAGTATTTTTGTCTACTTCTCTTGCTGTGCTCCATGCAGCCTTCTAAGGACTTATTAAAAATAAATTAGATATAAGTTTCAAGGCTGAATGAGAATCTATGTGTCCAAATCAAAATTCAACTAAATTTCTAACGTAATAAATGAAAAAAAGATTTAGACCTAAAATATAAATTTGTAATTTATAACCCTAACTTTCAAAAAAAGATTATAAATATTTACATATAAAAATAGCATGCCACCTACAAAAGAAAAACAGTAAAACTGGCATCAAATGTTTTTTTTCAGGATCCCTAGAAAATGTGTTTAAGATGGAGGAGATGTAAGATGAAAGGAGACTTGGTCCCTAAATGACCTTTTGAAGAAGAGCTGCCTACTCTTTACAGGAACAAGAAAGAAAACTTATACTAACCTATATTGTGTCATACGTTGAGATACAGATGTTTACTTTTTGTAGTTAGCATTACCTAAGTAAGGCTAACAAGATAATGTTTTTTGTTTTTGTTTTTGTTTTTTACAATTAATTTCCTTTTTCTCCCATACTCCCTGCATTTTGTGAAAATGTGTCAGTAGCAGCAACCTCTTGGTTTGATTCCCTAAAATTTGGGCCATAGCTTTGGGTGTTCATTTTTCATCTTCAGATGTGATAGCCTGTGGAATGGTAGTTTCCGGTATAGACATAAATAGGTCCACTAGAGTGTGGTAGGGTTGTCAGTACTCCCATAGTGGGAGTCTAATTATGAATTTTTCTGGAAGTCATTGCAATGGACCCATTCACAATTCTTTTCAGCCTTTTCAACAATGTGTACATTCTTAAATCCTGGCTATTAAATTTATTCCTGCTTAGTATATATATATATATATATATATATATATATATATATATATATATATATAATCTCTAGTTTAACTTTCTTCAATGAATCAATCTATATAGTTTCCAATTTTCACAATAAACTTAAGTAATTACAAAGAATAAAGATAATTAAGGTAACAGGACAGAATATCAGTGTTAGTTATGATCAAAAAGTGAAAGTAGAGCTGATACCTTGAAAGGTAGAAAAATATGGGCATGAGGAAAAGGAGATATGGAAGACGTGAGTGTATTATAATTTGTTAAAAACAACTCTTGGACTTTAGGTTCTTTACATAACAAAAGTTCACTTGTCCTTATATCACAATCTGGTGTGCACTGGTAAAAACAAACAAACAAACAAACAAACAAAACCTCTGCTTTCTATAGTCATTCGGAGACCCCACCTTTTTCCCCCTTTTTTCTGTACACTCCTCAGTATCCTCAGCAGATTGCTGAGGCAAGCTGGGGCAATTGATCTTGCCAGCCTCAGAATCCTCTCCATTTACTATGTGGATGGAGAAAGATAAACACATTCATGCAAGGATGGTTTGCATGGACCAGACTTGGGAGTAGCATGTGTCACTTCTGTTAAGATTTCACTGTACTGAATGCAGTCAGAAGGCTATACCTAATTGCAAGTAAAGCTGAAAAATATAATCCTGTGGTTCCTAGCAAGGCTAGAAAATAATATTGAAAAACAGAAGCAATCTCTGAAAAATCCACCCCTCTTTTCATGAAAATAGAGTTTATACTCTCCTCCACATAAAACACCTTCAACTGTCCTCCAGGGGGAAGAATTTGAAGTCCCATCAAATTATTGCATCTAACAAATTATCCAAGATTTTTTGAGGATGAATATCGGGTCCTAAGATTGTCCCTTGGCAAACCTGTGAACCAAAGAGACAAATTATCTGTTTCACCATTTAAAAAAATCTGGCAGTCATAGAATGACAATAATAGAAATTTACTGTCATTAGGGAGAAGAATGATTCAAACAATAGTTACTTATTCATAGTATTGTGGTAACTTTTTTGAGCAGCAGTGATAGAGGCCCCCTACTAATGGAACTAACTGGAGCTCCTTGATGAAATTTTGATAAAAGAGGAAGCAGGACATTGGTATTTCATGTTCGTTTGTTGTTTTATAGGTCATTGTATTAGTTGCCTAAGGCTGCTGTAACAAAGTATCCCACACTAGATGGCTTAAACAACAGAAAGGTATTGTCTCACAGTCTGGGACCTGGAAGTCTGAATCAAGGTATTGAAAGGACTGGTTCCTTCTCAGGGTGATGAGGGAGAATATGTTCAATGCCTGTCCCAGCTAGCCTCTGGTGGTTTATTGGCAATCTTTGGCATTCCTTGGCTTGTAGATTTCTGCTTCCATCTTCACATGGTGTTTCCCTGTATAAATGTTCATCTGTCCAAATTTTATCTTTTTATAGAAAATAAATCATACTGAATTAAGGGTCCATTCTATTCCAGTATAGCCTCATCTTTACCCATTATCTCTGCAATGACCCTATTTCCAAATAAGATTACATTCTAGGGTACTGGGGGTTAGGACATATGAGTCTTGGGAAGACACAATTCAACTCATACAGGCATTACTAAATAAAGGCTTTTTATTTTAAACTTAGGTTTATAACATAATTTGGATATGAATTCCCTTTAAAAGTAATATGGTTCTAAGCTCTACATGTTTATTTCCATATGTCAGTAGCCACACCTACGTTGCTCTTCTACACGTAATCCTCAAGCCTGGTTTATGTTTTTGCTTTCTCACCTCCAAGAATCTTTCTTAACTTAGTGAAGTTCACAGTGAAACTATCAGGCTTAGGTGAAAAAAGCCAATCTCCTCAACTGATCTTTGCTGCAATACTTGATTTTAATAGATTTTGTTGCCTGAATGCATTTTTAACTGTTATTTCTTCCTTTTTAGATTTAGAAGCAGTCAGCTTTTCAAATCCTTTAGAGCCCCAACTGTCTCAACTCTCCCTGTTTTCTTTCATTTTTGCTTGTAAGTCACCAATCCTTTTCCTGAGTTTACTCCTTTTTAATGATACATTACTAAAGTTGGCCAGTTATAATCAACACACTATTATTATGTCTCTTTCCAATCACTTCCCATTGAGCTGGTAAATATGTGATCTATCTTCTAAGATGTTGTGAGCTATAGCTTTACCAAACATTTGGCTACTGAGGCTCTCCAATCACCAGTATTCCTTGACCCTTTCTTTCCAAATGCTATCAAATGTTTTTGTTTGGTAGTATTGAGCTTTAAGTTATGATATTTATATTGGTCAGGGTAGGCTAAGTGCTGGAACAATAATTCACCAATTTCAATATTTAAACAAAATGAAAGTTACTTTCTTCTTCACATCACAATTTGGTAGAGAAAGGGGCTTCACGAATTATTCTGAGAAACAGACTCCCTCTTTTTCCCGAAATCTGCACTCAGATTTCTTTCTCTTCAGCCTGTGAGCATTGAAAGAGAACAAAAACATATAGAAAGGTTTTAGAAACCAAATTGAACCTGGCATGCCCTATTTGTGGTAACTTTTCGTGGCTAGAAGTAAGACAATACCTAACTTAAAGGGAGCCTGGAAAATGTGATCAAGATGTGTGCACAAGAAAGAAGTGGAAAAAAATGGGTGCTGGTGACCACAATGAGTCTCTCACTCCCAGGACCAGGGCAGGAATCTAATGTTTGGCAATGTTCACAATCTGGAGAACAGAGAGACAACTGGCATAGACAATTGTTGATGGAAACATAAGTGAATGTTTTAGTATACTATTTGGTGTTCAGAGTTAATGTGTGGAGGAGCTTAGAATATTGTTATAACTATACCGTAAGATGGAAGGATGATGAGGGCTTATGTAGATGAATTCAACTCTCATCTAGCATAGCAGGAATGCCTACAGATATTCAATATTAATCAATTAAAGAGCAATATCACTACATTATTCAGAGATGTATCTGTTACCATAAAAATTAAAATCAGACATTTTTAAAACTTGTGGCTTTTGGAGATGGGAGGCTAGAGAGAGGAGGGGTTGGGCACAAGAATGTTGCTTCTCCTTGTAAATTTTAACATTTGAATTCTTGGATGGGACACATAAATTATTCTGATAAAAGAAAAAAATTAACTGTACTTTTTTGTACATTCTGTATAATTTAAATTAATGATGTCACTTTATGGTTTTAAATAGTATTTTAACACAAAAAGTATACTTAGGTTAACAATGCAGTAGCCCTAACTAATGGATTATTACTAATAGCTTTGGGGAGAAGTATAAAGCTTTGTCTAGTCATTTACTGGCTAACAACGTCAAGTTTTAACTTCTCACCCTTCTCCAAAAAACGATGTTTCTTTTGCCTATACTGTGCCGGTGCTTACCAACAATATTCTAGTCATCTTAGCTTGAAACTACTTTGCTTCTCTTTACTCCATTTCTACATTTCATTTATTCACAAGATGAGGTAAATTTTGATTCTCCATGTCTGTCTATACTTAACTAACTCCTTACTATTATCTTAGACTATACTCTTATCTGATAACTAGATGATGTTAGTAACTACCTATGTCATTTTTCTGACATTTACCCCAATGCCAACTCATCCTGCATGCTATTGACAGAATAGTCTTTAAAATCTCTGATGATGTCTGGCTCCTAAACAGCCGTGGTATCTATTGCCTTCATGACTTTTAACACACTTTATAATTATGTTTCTAATTATCTTTCCAACCTCTTCTCTTATTATAAGACTTGAATGCCTGCAACAATCTGAATTGTGTTTTCCAAAATTCATATGTCAAAACTGAACCACTCAATGTAGCATTAAGAGGTGAGACTTTAAAAGACTTTAAAAGATGGAGTCCTTATGGATGGGATTAGAGCCCCTACAAAAGGGCTTGAGGGAATGAATTTGCTCTCTTCTGCTCTTCTGACATGTAAGGACACAGCAACAAGGTCCTCCCCAGACACTAAATGCTGGTGCTTAGATCTTGGGCTTTCCGTCCTGTATAAGTGTTAGAAATAAATTTGTGCTTTTGTTGTTTATAAATTACTCAGTCTCAGGTACTTTGTGATAGCAGCACAAATGATCTAAGACAATGCTCACCAAAAATGATTAATGTATAGCCTCTTAATTGTGTTTTTGATTTATAATTCTTTGTTTTCTTTCTCTTTTTTTTTCTTTTTTTTTGTTATGGAGTCTTGCTCTGTCACCCAGGCTGGAGTGCAGCGGTGCGATATCAGCTCACTGCAATCTCTGCCTTCTGGGTTCAAGAAATTCTCTTTCCTCAGCCTCCCAAGTACATGGGATTACAGGTGCCTGCCACCATACCTGGCTAATTTTTTTGAGATGGAGTCTTGCTCTGTCGCCCAGGCTGGAGTGCAGTGGCACAATCTTGGCTCACTGAAACTTACAACTCCCAGCTTCAAGCGATTCTACTGCCTGAGCCTCCCGAGTAGCTGGGATTATAGTTGCCTACTGCCATGCCCGGCTAATTTTTTGTATTTTAGTAGAGATGCGGTTTCACTGTGTTGCCCACGCTGGTCTTGAACACTTGAGCTCAGGCAATCCATCAGCCTCGGCCTCTCAAAGTGCTGGGATTACAGGCGTGAGCCACCATAACCGTCCTAACTTTTGTATTTTTAGTAGAGACAGGGTTTCACCATGTTGGCCAGGCTGGTCTCGAACTCATGACCTCAGGTGATCCACCCGCCTTGGCCTCCCAAAGTACTGGAATTACAGACGTGAGCTACCGTGCCCGGCATGATTTATAATTCTTTTTGCTTATCCTCATTCAGGTTTTTGAACCTGGAATGTGTATACTTACAGTCATTCAGTAAAGCCTAGTCTTTCTTAAGAGCCTGACTAAAATACCATGGATTACAATTTTCATTAATATTAATTGAGATCTTACTGTACATCAGCCACTATTTTAAGTAAATAAAGTTTTTACTGGTTGCACCAACCTGTTGTGATGATGTTCTGTATTTATCAGTTACACTTATATTTGTAGCTAGTTGTGCATACAATCTTAAACTTCAGCATTTTTAGTACACTTACTCTCTCATAAGGGTGTAGACTCCTTCACAGCAAGAGCATACTCTAAAGACTTTATTAAAAATCAAAAATATTTTATGAGTGAATAAATGTACACAAAAGTATGAAATAAAATGAATTTAAGATATTGTTCTACTTTGAAACCATTTATATTTTTTCAGAGTTGCAAAAAATGACCACGATTAATTTTTTTCATTTGGGGTGTGTGCATAAAATCACATGGAATGCACCTGGCTGATGGCTTTGGATAAGGAATTTTACAGAAAAGAACTAAGTATAACATGAAGCATCATATTGTCCAGCTTATTATTCAAGTTAGGTAGTTCAAGTTTCATGAAGGTAAGTTGTATATCCTTTATGAGAAAAATAAGTATTGGTTTTTCTCAATGGTAACTGGAAATCTTTAAAGGAAAACATTTTTATTATGAAACAGTTTATTGAATATAATGCAGTAATAATGTACAAAATGCTCCAAAATACATATGGAAAGCACCAGAAGTTTGGTGAAACTACTTGTCTACAAAAGAGTAAGAAACTATAACATATAACATCTAATTGTGTGTATGTTGTGTACAATGAGTACTCAATAAATGTTATTCATTGCCTCTTTTGACTATTACTTTTTTTTTTTGAGATGGCGTCTCACTCTTTCACCCAGGCTGGAGTGCAGTGGCACGATCTGGGGTCACTGAAACCTCTGCCTCCCGGGTTCAAACAATTCTCCTGCCTCAGCCTCCTGAGTAGCTAGGATTACAGGCGTCCGCCACCACGGCCAGCTAATTTTTGTATTTTCAGTAGAGACGGGGTTTCAACATGTTGACCAGGCTAGTCTCTAACTCCTGACCTCAGGTGATCTGCCTGCCTCGGCCTCCCAAAATGTTGGGATGACAGGCATGAGCCACTGTGCCCAGCCAACTATGACCACTTTTAAAATTACGTTTCATAATGTACACTTTATATAAGAGGCATTTGTGAAATTATTTGCTGAAACATTTGTTTACTTAATATTCTATCTTTGACACTTTTGTGGATTGAAGAAATATTTATTAGTCACTTATTTTAGACAGCTTATTGCTTTAGTACAGTTTCTAAACCCTGGCATTATTGACATTTGGGGGTGGATCTTTTGTATTAGGGGGCTGTCCTGTGCATCTTAAGACGCTTAGCAGCATCCCTAGCCTCTACCCTCTAGATGGTGGTAGCGCCCCCAGGCTGTGACAACAAAAAGTGCAAAATGATGGATGTGGGGAGGGTGGGAAGAGGTAAGTGTTTGGGAGGGGAAGGAAGGAGACAACACTCCTCTCTCCAGTAATTTAAGGCAGTGTATAATAGAACCTTTAAGTTACACAAAAGGAGATTCCTAGAATTTTAAGGGAATTGTTTTCCAGCTCCACAACATGGTAATCAAAGTGGAAAGGGGTTTGCCTCAAAAGGAGTAGTATGTGAGGTTCTTGTGTGATAGAGTAGAATATAAACTGGAAAAGTTGTTAAAGGGATTATACCATATTAGAATAAAAGGGATTGAGATAGTTCCAAGTATAAGAGGACTCTAGGCCCCCAATTTTCCATAAGAAAGAAGCAACCTGAAACCACGCAAATATGAGTCATTTCTTAAGAAACAGAATTACTGACAGTTCAGCCAGCCCAGAGGGAAAATCCAAGACCCCCAAAGAATAACAGATTAAGGACCTACATCTATGGAGTAGAATAGACCACAGCTTTATTTGGTTAAGAAAACGTAGAGATAAATGTACATCTTATATAAATTCTGTCAAATAGAACAAACATAGGAGCATATAAGACCTAAGAGGGAATTCTAGTGATGTCATCTCCCATGAGAAAAATTCACTTGCATTTAATTATTTTGCCAATTTATAAAATAGAACTAGAGTGTAAAAACAAAGAATATACTTTATAACTCTACATATGTCTGTTACTTGACTCAGAGACCTAGTATCTCTGTTATCAGAAAATTGGCCAACTAGTAATTTATAAGAAAAGCTTTGTGAGACAACTAAATTATTGTTCTCAAATTCCAGTTTTTACTAAAGTTCTTCAGTGAAAACAGATCCACAGAATAAGAAAGCAGGGAGGAAGTGTGAGAGATTGTACTAAGAGTGGTTTCTTGATTCGTAAGGGGTGCTTTCTATAAGTAAGGATGGGCGAAACCAGCAAATAGTCTGGGGGCCATTCATTTGTGAATAATAGTTCATAAATTTCCTAAATGCTGAACATTTGAGAATGGTCTACTGTGATATGTAGAATCCTCCTGTTTTGTAAATTTCAAGTGATTGTCATAATGATATGACTGTCAAGAGAATGTTTGGATTAAGCTTGAAGCTGAATTGAGCTTATCAATTTATAACTTCATTTGTGAAATTCTGACATATATATATATATTTATATGTATATATTTTACTTTCATGAGATTTACTTCATTTTGAAAAGTTACTACAGATTATTTAGCCATTAAAAAGTTAATAAGGGAATACTATCAACAATTTTATGCTCATTAATTCAACAATCTAGAAGAATTGGATGAATTCCTTGGAAAACACAAATTGCCAAAATTCAGCTAAGATCAAACAGACAATCCAAATAGCTATATAAGCATTGGAGAAAACAAATTTATAATTTAAAAACTCTCAAAAAATTATCTCCAGGGCAAAATAACCTCACTGGAGAACTCCACCATACATTCAAAGAAGAACCAACATTGATTCTACATAACCTTCTTCAGAATACAGACAAGGAGGGCACAACCCCCATCTCATGCCAGGAGGCCAGCACTAACCTGACACCAAATGAGGGAAACACTATACAAAAACAAAACAGTCTCAAAATAAAATCCCCCATAAACAAAGACAAAAAAAATCCCCCAAATCACCAACAAAGATAATTCAGAAATGTCAAAAAAGAGCTATACACTATGAACAAGAGGTTTCCATTCTTATGGATATTTAAGCACTAGTTGTGCTCATTCAAAGGAGCCAAGAAGAATTAATACACTCTATTGATAATTGCCATGCCTAGATAAATCTTCCTGATTTCAGGAATGGTTTTATAAAAGACAGCTTGTTGTTAATTAAAGCCATTAAGTTAGGGGTAGTTTGTTATGAAGCCATAAATAAGTGAAACAGGCACTGATTACAGCAGTCGTTTCTGATATAAAAATGTGAAATATTTGGCATTTGCTTTGAGGCCATCAACAGGTAAAGGCTGGAGAGAGAAACAGTGGTTCACTCAGGCACCATTAGTAGAAGTGGGGGCAATGGGAGCCTGTGTCATATAATGACAGAAAAATTAGCAAATCTGTCACCTACAGTAAATGCCTCAGTGAACTATTGGATCTTGCTAATAAGATTTTCAGGCAGAATGTTTAAAGTACCAATTGGCTTATTTTAGATGTAAATGATCAGACATTGCAAAAGAGAGGTCAATTAAAGAAGGAAGTGTTCCATTTCTTAGCAGAATTTAGAGAAAATAAAGTGAGTACAGGATAACTTCATCGGCCAGAAAAGCATTCTAAAAGTAAGAAATGAGCTCTGGGTCAAGATCAAATCAAGGGTATGTTACAGAGTAATTTAAGGCAGTGGATAATAGAACCTTTAAGTTATACAAAAGGAGATTCTAAGAATTTTAAGGGAATTATTCTCCAGCTCCATGACATGGTAATCAAAGTGGAAAGGACTTTGCCTCAAAAAGAGTGGTATGTGAGGCACTGTGTAATAGAGTAGACTATAAACTGGAAAAGTTTTTAAAGGAATTATACCATCTTAGAATAAAAGGGATTGAGATAGTTACAAGGAATAAGAGGACTCTAGGCCCCCAGTTTTCCATAAGAAAGGAGCAGCCTGAAACCACACAAATATGAGCCATTTCTTAGGAACCAGGAAGGATTACTGAGAGTTCAGCAATCCCAGAGGGAAAATTCAAGACCCCGAAAGAATAGCAGATTAAGGAACTACGCCTATGGGGTAGAATCAGGCTCTAACTGAGGAACTGTCCCTGGTCCCAAGAGTCTGAGGATGGCAATGGATTTGTGTGTCTATTCTGGATAATCTTCTCCACTCCCCTGATTATTTTGAAGAACAGTAGTATCTATTGCAGTTATCCCGTCCTTATCTTGCCATTTTATTTTGTGTTGTGAGATCAGGTAATTTTTCTGTTCAGTTTACAGGTCACTGGATTAACAAGTATATTTGAGGGGCTGCACTTGGAAAATACATTCAAGTGGGCTTCATCTGCATCTGTAATTGATTTAGAGAATGAGATCCAGAACTCTGAGCCTAAAACAGTTGCTGTCATTGGCTGAAACTTTACAGACCTGAAAAGAAGTTGAGTATATTTTGTATTGGGAGCTGAGTATTAACTGTAGTAGATAATAATTCCCCACAATGAATTATGCTTGTCCATATCCCTTTGCAATGTAATATTAAAACAGTCCACTCATCAAAACATGGTGTCTTTTTTTTTTTTTTTTTTTTGAGACGAATCTCACTCTGTCACCCAGGTTGGAGGGCAGTGGCACGATCTTGGCTCATTGCAACCTCCGCCTCCCGGGTTCAAATGATTCTTTTGCCTCAGCCTCCCAAGTAGCTGGGACTACAGGTGCATACCACCGTACCCTGCTAATTTTTGTATTTTTAGTAGAGATGGGGTTTCACCATATTGGGCAGGCTGGTCTGGAACTCCTGACCTCGTGATCCGCCCACCTTGGCCTCCCAAATTGCTGGGATTACAGGCATGAGCCAAGGCGCCCGGCCAGTGTGTATTTTTATCACCCTCTTTAATCTAAACTGGAATTGGGATTTTCTTTTTTCAATAGAACGTGGTGGAAATGACATTAAGTGAGTTTCAGATCTTAATATCTGAGAGGCCCTGCTTCCTTTCTCACTCTTTGGAAGTCTTGAGATAACCATGAAGCAAAGACGTTCTGCCAAGCCTACTGGTGGATGAGAAGTCACATGGAGGAAAACAGAGACACCCCAGCAGAGAGCAAACACCACGGCTTCTGACATGAAAGTGGGGACATCTTGAACCTTCTACCACTGCCCATGTACCAGCTGAGTGAAACAATCTGCATAAATGAGCTCCAGTGGGACAAGCAGAAGCAATGAGTAAATTGATAACATTTTGAGAACTAACATTGCTGTTTTAAACCAGTAAGTCTGGGATAGTTTTCTATGCAGTGATAGATAATTAGAATATATTTGAACGTGATAAATTGAGAATAAGTATTGTAATCTAAAGGCAGCCATTAAAGGATACTAAGAATATGTAACTACCAACCAGGGTAGACAATCTCAGTGCAGCAAACAAACATGTAGCACACCCAAGAGTTTTTTAGAATGAATATTTATATAAACTTAATTTAAGGTTCCTGGTATTATTGGCTTGTTATAACAAAAGATCTTTTCAGCATATAATTGTGTTTCATTTACTACTGTGTGGACTAATTCTAAATTCTAAAATGAGTTTGTCAGAAAACGTAGAAAAATTACAAAGTTTGTACAAGTATCCACTAACCTTAATTTTTCAGGAGACATATTTTGTTTCATAAGGAGCAGGCCCTGGATTTTAGGTTTTTTTTTTTTTTTTTTTTTGAAAAGTTTACTTTCTATTATTTGTAACTGGTAGAAGAGCATACAATGAGATAATAAAACTTGGAATCTCAGGAAATAGAAAGAAAATGTGAGAGTTGGCCATTTAAATTAATGTGTCATTCTTAAATGTGAGTGGATGATGAGGTAAGATAGAGAAGTTTAGAAACTATCAAACATTGTTATAGTAAAAACAATGACAACCTCATTTAAACATATAATTGACTATTAGTCTGTTTTGTATTGCTATAATAGAATACCTGACTCTGGGTAATTTATTTAAAAAAGAGGTTTATTTAGCTCATGGTTCTGCAGGCTGGGAAGTATGAGACACATGACACCTATGTCTGCTCCACTTCTGTTGAGGGCCTCATGGTAGGTCAAAATATGGCAGAAAAGGTCAAAGGGAAAGTGGCCATGTGGGTGCAGAGACAGGCCAAACCCAGGGCGCCTCCTGGCTTTGTAGAAACTCACTCTGGCAGGAACAAATCCATTTCTTCTGAGAACTAATCCAGTCTTGACAGAGTGAGAATTCAGTATTGCGAGAACAGGACCAAGCCATTTATGAGGAATATGGCCCCATAACACAAATTCCTCCCTATATGCCCCACCTTTCAACACTACCACACCTGGAATCACATTTCAACGTGAGTTTTGTTGGGGACAAATGAACCATAGCCAAACCATAAACACAGTGAAGAAGGAAAACATTTTTTGAATGTAAGATTGATCACCACCTTCTCTACATCCAATTTTCATTGTGTTGCCTGAAGTTACATGACATGTTGTTTAAAGGAAGGGTTGGAAATAAGCATGTTAGTAAGCCTTTTTCTACAAGTGCTTTCATGAGCACAGAATGTTGATTTTTTTTTTCATGTTGGTTTTTGTTTTTTGTCTTTTGACAGACTTTGAGAGGCTCATAAGACTTTAGAATTCTTTGAATTTGATAATTCTAGGGAGATGAGAAAGAATCTTTGTTTAATTTTTGAAGCACATAATTACAGACGAATATTTAAATTTGACAGTTAAAGGCATGATATTAAAGAACTCTGACTTTAGTGTAGACTTTTTTTACATATAAATATGAACATATGCTATGTTTATATAAACCAAATGATCTCTATATTCCTCTTCTTTGATTTGTTTACAAAAAGATTGAAAAAAATGACTGAAAACTTTGACAATTACTCAGAATTCTTTGTTTTAAAACGTGTAAAAATAAAGATGAAATTATTGGTTTAAAAATGTGTACACAAAGTAAACTGAAAAATGTGTGCAACTACATTATAAGAAAATTATACAACATCTTAATATAAGATTTAGAAAAATAATTAACTTTTACCGTTTAGATGTAGTAAAAGATTGGCACTACTAATACGTTAAAAATTGGAGGCCGGGAGTGATGGTTCATGCCTGTAATCCCAGCACTTTCAGAGGGTGAGGCAAGAGGATCACCTGAGGTCAGGAGTTTGAGACCAGCCTGACCAACATGGGGAGACCCCGTCTCTACTAAAAATACAAAATTAGCTGGGCCCAGTGGCGCATGCCCGTAATCCCAGCTACTTGGGAAGCTGAGGCAGGATAATTGCTTGAACCTGAGAGGTGGAAGTTTCAGTGAGCCGAGATTGTGCCATTGCACTCCAGCCTGGGCAAAAAGAGTGAAACTCCTTCTAACAAAAAAAAATAATAAAATAAAAAAAAGAAAAAGATTTTCAAACAGTTGAAATAACTACTATTGGTATTGATTCCTTCGAATTTCAGAAAATGATAGAATCTTGGATTTGGAAGTGTAGTTTACATTAGAGGTCCACAACCCCAGTCCAGATGTCAGTACTGGCCTGTGGCCCGTTAGGAACCAGGTGAGCGGCAGCTGAGCTAGTGAAGCTTCATCTGTATTTACAGCTGCTCCCCATCACTCGCATTCCCACCTGAGCTCCACCTCCTGTCAGATCAGCCATGGCATTACGTTCTCATAGGAGCGTGAACCCTATTGTTAACTGCGCATGTGAGGGATCTAGGTTGTGCACTCCGTATGAGAATGTAATGCCTAATTATCTATCACTGTTTCCCATCACCCCCAGCTGGGACTGTCTAGTTGCAGGGAAATAAGATCAGGGATCCCAGTGCTTCTACATTATGATGAGTTGTATAATTATTTTATTATATATTATAATATAATAATAATAGAAATAAGGTGCACAATAAATGTAACATGCTTGAATCATCCCGAAACCATCCCGTCAACCTTGGTCCATAGAAAAATAGTCCTCCACGAACCAAGTCCCTGGTGCCAAAAGTTTGGGAATCCGTGGTTTAAATAATCTCTCCTAATCCATATAATTGAAAAAGTATATAACATATGTCCTATATGGGGAGATTATGTGACTCATCCTAAATTACAAAGTATTTCATTAGTGTCCACCAATTATGTAGTTGCAAATACAGAAATGGCTAGAGTTAGAAACAATGTATTAGAAGCTCATCAAACAGCACATAGAACAAACACTCATGTGACAGATTTCCTAGCAGGTATGATGTTTGTTAAGGAAACTCTTCTGGTAACCTCAAAAACTGAATGTAAAGTTAGTCGAACATCACATTCAAAAAACAATATAAGTGTGAATAATTTGCTCTGGAGAATAGGAAATTCATAGAAGAGAAATTCACTTTTGCCTTCAATTCTTAATATTAGAGTGGTGCATAGTCTATTTATAAGGAATATTTCATTTATTAACTTATGTGCCTTGATATTATCTTATTCTTTCAGCAGATAGGACTCACTGCCAAGATAATTCTAAAATAAAAATCATTATGAACTTATTAATTAATTACCCTTGGAATTAAAGAGCTTCATTATCCCTAATTTAGGTTCGTTTCACCAAAGTTTCTAATTGTTTTTACAGACACATTTAAAATTGAAACTTAGAGAACTGGATATCCAGCTCTTTATTATATTCAATTCAAAGAACACTCAGTTTGTGATATTTTGTTTAAATGGCAAATCTTGAATTGATTTCAGTAAAAACTTCATTCATTATTAGGGCTTATTCTGTTCTCATCTCCTTTTTGTCAGCTTGATGTCATTCTTTTTCTTATCTATTTTGAGATTCTATAGGAGTTATTCAATTTAGCATCTAGTATTAATCGATATTTTCTCTATCAAACATCCCCATCCAAACTTGCATGTTTTACCTACCAGGCTTGCTGCTTGTATTCTCTTTTTGAAGGGAACTCTTATTTTTACTTCTGTAATACCAAGAAAAAATATTATTCCTTTCTGCTATTTGCTATTATTTGAAATATATTTACTCATTTCATTAGCAAACATTTACTGAGCAACCAATATCTTGACACAGGTATAAATATTTTTATGTGTGCTTTATTTATTCAGGTTTGCAGGATTTCAGAGTTCAACTACAAATATGGAAGAATGAAATAAAAGGATACAGACATATGTCATAATACCTAGCAAGATCTGGCCTTTGGCTGGTGCTAAGGAATCATTTTTCACCACTCTTTCTTGCTTACTTCAGCCTTGTTTCCTGACACCCCCAAGGATTAAATTTATCTGATCAGAAGCCTTCTCTGCAGATTTTGTAACAGCATTCACCTCCATCATTCTCTCTCCCTTTATCTGATCTGCTTTCCCTCAGAGTACAGATCACTACTTGACATTATATTATATTATGCATTTATTTCTTCTTACTTTCTGTAATGTTAGGCTTACAAAGTAGAAAATTTCCCTGCTGTGTTTACTTTGTATCACCACTGACTGGTCTCACTCTGCCACCCAGGCTGAAGTGCAGTGGCACAATCATGGTTCACTACAGCCTCCACCTCCTGGGGCTCAGGTGATCCTCCCCGCTGTGCCTCCCAAGTAGTTGGGACTACAGGCACACACCAACACACCTGGCTAATATTTTTGTATTTTTTTAGAGACTGGATTTTGCCATATTGTCCATGCTGATCTTAAACTCCTGGGCTTAGGCAATCCCCTAACTTTGGCCTCCCAAAGTGCTCAGATTACAGGCGTGAGTCAATGTGCCTGGCCAAAACAATGATAAATTGTTGTGGATTAAATGAAAGAAAGGATGCTGTTTTCTATTCCAGTCAATAGGTCAGGAAAAACCTTACATTTAAGATAAGGAAAATGAAGAGTTAGACAAATAATGAGGCAAACCAAGAAAAACAAGGATGTAGAGGGCATACACTTTTAAAAACCTTCAACATAAAAAAATCCTTCTAACTAAATATTTTCTGCATCCTCAATCCTAAAATTGTAGAGTCATCAGTAACATGGGACTACCTTAAGAAAGGTATTATTTGGAAATTCATGAGTAATATAGGTTCATAACTGCTTTTCCATAATTGCAGAGTTCCAAAAGGCATGTAAACCTGGAGTTTGTGATTATTTGTTTACATGACACCAAAACTCATTTGCAAGGCCTAGCATGAACACTTTGTACTTTTTACTTCAGAAGTTAACGTGTTTAGTTATGTGATGCTGGGTGAAGGGAGATGTTTCATTATGTATGATTAAAATTTGTTTCCTAAATTTGGAGAAAATTCTGAATTCTGAAATTTGGTTTTAAAAATATCAAATAAAAGATTGTGGGTTCGTATAAGGTTAAAACACAAATTAAAATATTGACCTATTGTTTAATATACAATTAAAAAGAAACTAAAAATGTTGGAACTCTGACATATAGGTGAAATATATCAGGATCATTTAAAATAAAGGATAAAATCACTGTAGCACACAATGGAAATTGAAAGTTAATAGGGAAGGCATTTTAACATATAATATACGTAAATGGAAATTGTCTTGTAAATGTGTAAAAAAAATTCAACTTTACTAATAATTAAAATTAAAGATGATGTATTTTACTTTTCAACTATCATGCTAATACAAATTTTATATAAGGAAAAACTACCAAAAAATTGATAATTAGTTACCATTAAAATTAGTCTCTAAGAGTTCTTAGTTACTGTTTTATAGTCATATAATTTTGAACTTAAAGGGATTTTAGATATAATGTAGTTTGACAGCCTTAATTTATTATATGTAATTAATTATTTATACATAATGATTAATTAATGTTTAATTATTAATAATAATTAATATGTGTAATAATTTATCCTCCTCACACGTCTTTATCTAGAGCCTACTTAGTGCCAGGGTTTAGTTTAAATAGATTTGAAGATTCAAAGGCCAGACAGGTTCTTGAATTACTTGATCCGAGATACAGAGTTAGATAGAAACCATCTATAAGATAGAAAACAATAATAAGATAATTATGAGTGTACAACAAGGGTTACAAAGAAAATGAACAAGAAATTGAGGTAGCCAATAATGGTGGTCAACAAAGTCCTTCTCTAAGGAGATGATATTTAAGATAATTAGTTTAAAATCCAAAATCAAGAAGCAGTTTTACAGTGTGATCTGTCACTTAGCAGCTGAATCAGGGTTACAAACTCCGTTCCTTGATTCAAATTAATTTATATTTAAAAATACATTTATTTTCATTTTGTAGTTTAAAAACTCAGAGTGGATAATATCAGGATACAGATGACTACAATAATGCTACTAATTCAAGTGAAGTCAATATTAAAGTATAAAGATTCAGGGAAATAAACTCTCATCTAATTTTAATTCGTTTCTTTTGTGAGTAAATAGAGATTTTAGTAGGTCTGCATAATGCTATAAGTAATGTAGCTTCTTAGGTGTTTCAGCCCTGTGACTAAAAGAGTTTGATGACACACTTGACCAGATGAAAATCTCTTTGGCAATGTTAAGACGTTTAGTCCTTTCAATTTAGGCTACCTTTTTTTTTCCTTTTTGGATTTCAAATAATATGTTACCAAGGCCCTTAATATTAGAAAATCTCTTGATATAAAGTTCAAAATGCTAAAATATTTGGTGCCATTATCTTGAAACCAGAAATATATGTCTTTCATTTGGGCTTTCTATAGCGATTTTCTTTTTTTTTTCTAAACAAAAAAAGCTACAAAGAAATTATGAAAGAAAAGATTATGAAAAGAATATATCTATTGTCATGTATTTCTCTTTATTGCTCTTCTTGAATAATACCTCTCTCTGTACTCCTTTTGCCTTCTCTTTCCTTGTACCAATTAGATCAGAGGCAATTCAATAGGATGTCTTTAAGCCAGGCAGGTTAGGTTAAAAAAAAAACATTCTCTTCTTACAGCAGCTCTGCACCCTGTACAGTTTGTATTCTCACCATAAATTCCCAAGGATGAGCTTCCATCATGCCCATCACGACCATTAGCACACTTGGTGTAGAGTAATTGAGAGAGAAATCAGAAAGTTAACAAAAGATTGGATGAAGTATAAAAGTTCCTTTCGTCTTATCAGGAAAATAGTACCCTCAGGAAATTTGAAGTCATGCATTAAGCCAGCATTGTCTACATTTGTAGCATACCTTCTTATTTTCTCAGAGGGCAGATCAGTTATTTTAATTTTTTTTTCAAAGGAGAAGAGAAATGAAGGCTGGAGAATAAGCTTTGGAATATGAATAACAGTTACAAAATAAAATAATATGTATTTAAGATGACTTAGTAATGCTTGCTCATATAAATTGTGTATAACAATAACGCATGACTGATTTTTTTCCTTATGATTGCTACACTCCCAGAATTGGATTATTGCTTCATTAAATTATTTGAAGTTTGTCAAACCATATAGAATAGTATCATAACCAAAAGTATCTCAGTGCTGGAAAGAAGTGGAGGGTAACATTTCTATGATTTATTCTTGGAAGTAGGTGATGCACTGAGATTCATCGTGCATAAATCTATTAGAGAGGTGGAATTACTCCACATAGAAGAATAAAGAATCTTTTGAAGAGGAGTGTAATTCTTGCCAAACTTTATGGCTAGGTGGCTAGAGTTAAGATTTGGCTGGTGTTTCCATGATCAACTCTATTTTTCTGGAGCTTATATCTCAGCTCTACAAGAAATTTAGAAGAAAACACCATATCTAGAAAACTCCATAAAGGGTAAATATATAAATAAATTCAGATAAATTAAATCTAAAGAGATTCCCAAACAGAAATGAATCCATATTTCAATCCCATTTGTGTATGAGAAGGTAGGTCAGACCAAAAATGGTGGCTCTGATTCCAAAGCTAAACAGATTGATGATTCCTGCTCTGTTTATGGTTGCTTTCTAGTTAGTTTACTGGTAGACTGGGAAACAGAGTAAAGGATGTAGTCAAGAAAATAACTGGCGTGAGTTGGCACAGCTTCCCAGAACTTCTTTATGGCAATGCGCTGAAGTTTGGTGATCAATGCAATCCAAGCAGAGTGAAACAACTTCCAGGCCACAGGAATCCCGGGCCGAATAGTCAGGGGTATGGGAGGGGACTGAAGCTTCCATATTCTAATACTGCACTCTCCAGTACAGTAGCCTCTAGCCACAAGCCACATGTGGCCAATTAATTTCAATTAGATAAGATTAAATACAATTAAAGATTCAGTTCCTCAGTTTCACTAGCTGAATTTTAAATGCTCAGTAGCTATGAGAGGCTAGTAGCTACCGCTTGGATAGCACAGAGAGAACATTTCCATCATTGCAGGAAGTTCTATTGGATAGCACTGATCTAACACATGAGGCAGTTATTGCTATGCAATGGCAACTTGCTCCTGTGTTCTTTTTCTTATTGAGTCATTACGTCTTCAGTAGGCCATTTCCTATAGTGGAGAATTGTGAAACTGTAATACTAATGAATATATTTATGCATAATGTTTAGATTTTTTGTGGATGGCACACACATTTCTGTTCCTTGTGAATTAGAAGGCAAAGTCATTCTTCTAATGATCCAGAATAATAAAAATTGTAAAGGGCATAAGAGAGTGGCAAAGGTTAAAAGGAGTCAGCAAGGGGAGTGAGAAGGGGACTACTCAAAAACATTTACAAAAAAATTCTGAGTACCACAGTGGTTCAAGCACATAGATATAAATCACTTATTTTACACAAATTGGCTCAATTTCTAATAAAAAATTCCCATGTTTTAGGGGATATTGTACTCCGATTGATATAAGCCTTTCCACTGTAGATTTTCTTCAAAAATAAATTTTGCTCTCTCTACAGATTCATACATTTGAAGGGATATTTGAATTATGTTTATAAATGCATACAGATAAGATTATAAAGAACATTAAATATGCAGATTGTGATAGAGTAAGTAGTGACTCCTCCAAAGATGCTCACACTCTAATTATTAGACCCTGTGAAAATGTTATAATACATTACCAAAGGGATTTTTGCTCATGTAATCAATATTACAGACCTCAAATAAGGATTTATCATGGGTTATCTGGACGGTTCTACTCTAATCAAGTTCTTAAAAGCAGAGGCATTTCTCCAGTTAGAGAAAGGAGAGATGCAACAGAAAAGATGAGAAGAAGAGATGAGCAGAAGAAGGGGTCAGAAAGAGTAGAGGCGTCACAAGGACTTGATTCGCCACTGTGGTTATGAAGAAGAGAGGGGACCACGAGCCAAAAATTGAGGTTGGCATCTATTATAGAAGCAGAGATCACCTGGCCAATATTCAGCAAGGAAACAAGCTGGGCCATATAAGCAAATGGAGCTAGTTTCTGTCAACAACTTGAATAAACCTGGAAGTGGATTCTTCCACAGAGCCTCCAGATAAGAGCTTAAATTGGCCAATATATTGATTTTAGTTTGCTGAGACCATGAGCAGTGTACCTAGACAAGCTTAATGGACTTCTGACCTTGAGAACTATTTGATAATTAATGGATACTGTTTTTTGTTTGTTTGTTTGTTTTTGAGACGGGGTCTCCCTCTGTTGCCAGGCTGGAGTGCAGTGACGTGATCTTGGCTCACTGCAACCTCCGCCTTCTAGATTCAAGCGGTTCTCATGCCTCAGCCTCCAGAGTAGCTGGGACTACAGGCGGCATGCCACCACGCGTGGTTAATATTTCGTATTTTTAGTAGAGACAGGGTTTCACCATGTTGGCCAGGCTGGTCTTGAACCCCTGACCTCAGGTGGTCCACCCACCTCGGCCTCCCAAAGTGCTGGGATTACAGGTGTGAACCACTTTAAGCTGCTAAATTTGTAGTAATTTCTGATGATAGCCACAAAAATCTAATAGAAGTTTACATATGAAAGCACACTTGTCCACTGAATTTATTTTCTGTGAGTCCTCTCAAATATGACAGTCTGCCCAATTCATAAAAAATAAGTCTGTAGACTATTCCTGTTTCTAGTTGTTCATCTTCTTATTTGGAAACCCCTCATCTTTCATAACTACTTTATGCTCCCATAACTTGAAGGAGTTAATACTTCTATTTCATTTCTTGTACACACATAACCTTCCTCATGAAAATTAGTGAACAAGTCGAGTTTTCCTTATATTTTACAGGGGAATGTGTCTTTCCCACAATACCCATAAGAGTACACCCTTAATCAATCCCCTCTCTTCATGCACCCACCCACTAGTCTGTCTCCAGCCACACTGCCAACCTAAATTCCCCTTCTTTGACTTTCAACACCCCCCTCACCCTTCCTGGTTCCAGGGCTCCCTGATTTGATATCTTTCCACAGTTCTCTCTGCCTCTCCTTCTTTCTAGCTTGGAGCTATTCATCTGCTTCACTTTTTATTTTTAGAATAGCATATTGCAAGAGATACTAAAGAACAAGACACTGAAAAGCTGAGAATTTTCACTTGTGGCCCTCATATGTTCTTGTTTTCCATAGCTTTTTCTTCCCATCTCCTCTTGAACATGACTTTAACCTCTAGCTGCTCCTCCGTTCCCCCCTTGATAAAACTCAAATTGGCAAAAAAATTGGCTGTACATCCACAAGCACAATTCCTCTATTCCCAAATTTTGCTTAACCTCCTCTTGCTAAAGCCCTGTAAAATATTCTGTTTTTCTTCACATTCCCCTTGGAATCTTCTCATACCTGAAATTAGTTTTCTTAGAGTACCAGGTTCTACATGTATGAGCCCCAAGAAGGTCCCACAAACCTCCCATGCCTTAATGCCTTAGATTAGTCTTGGGAATGGAAGAGAAAGCTATGGGGAGCAGGCATAAGGTAAGGTACTGTTTAGTAGTGTCTGCATAAAGTTCCTCAGAGCCCTTACAGATTGGGTTGCCTCTGTGCTGGTTGATGCAGAATAAGTTAACAGGAAACTTGAAAGCAGTAAGTCTAAAAGAAGCAGAAGTGATGTTTATGCCTGCTCTAGATTTCTACTGAGAGGAATTTCTTATTAAATTTGGTCTCTGTGTATGTTGCAGAGAGCAGCATTTCTATGGTATGGCTGCTTTTTTTTTTTTTAAATCTGCCCACATATATCTCTTATAATTCTGACTTTTTCCACTTCTGCAAAGACACCTATGGGAAATAACACAGCTCTCTACTTGGCATAACAAATTGACTTAGAATAAGCCTTAGGTCGGATCCGTATAACATTTTAGCACAGCCATCTGAGCAATTTTAATGATGTGGGATGCTTGTTGAATAATTGAATTAGCCATAGGAATTAATATTAAGAATCTTGGACCCAATTGAGAGGGTGTGTAACAGTCTTTTCTGATTTAGTGGCCAGATATAGATCCGACACTTATCATAATGATTTTCATGTAGTATCCTCTACCTCTCAGCTCTGTCCTACTGCATTTGACTTGATGATAATGCCACTGCCTATTCCAAGTTATCAATGTGTGAATATATAACTTGTTATTCAAATTGGGATTCTTGTGCCAATAAAAGGAGGCACTATTCATAATTAGGCTGAACAACAAGCACATTCATTCAAGAATCATGACCAAAACCCTCTATTTGACTAGTTTAATAGGCAGAAACTCCAAGACTGATTTTAACAACTGCAAATGTAATGTCATTAATATGCATTAAAAATAAACTTCTTGCTGGAATATGATAAGTAGGAGGCAGACAAATCAAAGTGCAGATATAATATCAAAAGCTCATCTTGCCATAAGAATATGACTGAAGGATAAAGCAGTTGGTTGTTGGTGGTAGTTCAGATAAGAAATTTGTGTTGGGTAGGAGTCTCTGCCAGTCAGTGGTATTTGTCTCAAGTGAATGAAACATAAAATTAATGAGGACTATAGGTATAGTGGTATAGCAGTAAACAATTTTGGAAGATTTTGTATATTTCTCAAAATAAAAGAGATATATAGATAACACTTAAGCATATCAGATGATCAAACAACTAAAGATAACATTTTAAATAATATGAAAAAAATAAATGTAGCCTTGGCACCAATAAAAGACTAAAGATAAAGGTAGGTGATGTCCACTCCATGTTTTACTCATCAAAGTATAGCTGGAACAACTGTTTCTATAAGAATACTAAAACAGACATGACAGGGTCCCTAGTTTCCTCTTTGATTTCTATGTTTTCTTCTTCTTTAAAAAAAATTTACTATCTACCTCTCCAATCCCATAAACTTTGACTATCCAGAAAAATTGCAAGCATTGCAGAAATAGTTCTTAGAAAATACTAACCTGTTTGTTATTGGGACCTCAAGCAAGGGGCATGATAACAGGAACAAACATCAACCTTGAATTTCAGTTAAAATTAAAAATTGCTACTTAAGCCAAACCTGCAAGGACACATGAACATTTCTGATCCCTAAAAACCCTGACCCTGCTTCAGCTGGGGAATCATCTGGTTTTTAGGAGCTCCCTAACTCACATTAACTGAACAAAGAATTTAACCTCTCCTAATGAATTGCTATAATCATTTCCTTCTGACAGTTCTATGTTTTAAAACAGAATGCTGACAAATTAGTCTGTCTAGAGTTAAAAAGCTTACATGGTATAACAACTACTTCGAGGAATGGTAGAAAAAACAAATGTCAATCTTTAGATAAGAAGACTTGTTAAAAAGGAGAGATGTGATTTGTTCATTACTGTAAGGATTGCAAACAATCAAGAGAAACACTATAGGATAAACACACAGTAACTGTAAAACTGATGGGATATAGAAACTTATTTGCAAAGCTGTGAACTTCCAATTTTTGTGAATGTTCAGAAAGATGTTAGCTGACTAGCTTTCAAATATACTATTTAATTGCTACATTAGGTAAGAGATAATCTTTTAATAACCACCTATATTAAAATTTCTCCAATTACGTTCTTCTCATGTGATGAATTCTGGACATTTTTTTAAATAAGGGCTTACCACTTATTTTCTTTGAAAATTTTAACACAATTTTTTGTTAAAGAGTATTTATTTTTAAAAAGTATTTTTTAAACAGTTGCATATATATAATTTTGGGGAGGATGATTCTATCCAGTAAATTTCTTTATTTACTACCAAGTACATTTCAAAATGAGACACATTCTCACAACTATATTCAGCCTCAGGAAATAATTTATGAATGAATATTACTTGAGGCACACAGAGAGAAGTGACTCTGCAAGACATATTCCATAAAATATATGTATATTTTTCTTGTTTTATGAAAGATGACAAATTTTAGAGCTCTATAATGTTAAAAAATATATAAATTTTTTTTCTTAGGGAACACTGAGGAAAAAAATTGGATTAAAGCCCACACTAATTCTCAATTCTGGAATAAATATTTTCTCTCCTTTCAAGCTAGGTGGTAGTCTTCTCTCCACAGACATTTTACTTAGTAAGAAATAATTAAGGTGGATAAAACACATTTACCAAGAATATTTGTGTACAGTCATGTATCACTTAATGCCGAGGGATACATTCTGAGAAACGTGCTGTTTGGCGATTTCTTCATTGTGTGAACATCATAGAGTGTACCTTCCGAAACCTACTACACATCTCAGCTATATGGTGTAGCTTCTTGATTCTAGGCTACAAACCTGTGCAGCATGTTACTGTATTGAATACTGTAGACAACTGTAACACAATGGTATTTGTGTATTTAATCATATATAAACATATAAAAGATACCATAAAAATGTGCTATACAAGATTGTAAAAATGGTACATCTATTTAGGGCACTTACCACAAATGAAGTATGCAGGATTAGAAGTCTCTTTGAGTAAGTCAGTGAGTGAATGGTGAGTGAATGTGTAGGCTTAGGACATTACAATACAGTACTATGGATTTTATAAACACTGTAAATGTAAGATAAAATAAATATATAAAAAATATTTTTCTGGCTGGGCATGGCAGCTCATGCCTGTAATTCCAGCAATTTGGGATGCCAAGGTGAGAGGATGGCTTGAGCCCAGGAGTTAGAGACGAGCCTGGGCAAAATAGGGGGACTTTGTCTCTACGAAAATATTTTAAAATTAGCTAGATGTGGTGGCACACACCTGTGGTCCCACCTACTCGGGAGGCTGAAGTGGGGGGATCTCTGGAGTCTGGGAGGTCAAGGCCGCAGTGAGCCATGATCATGCCACTGCACTCTAGTTTGGGTGACAGAGCAAGATCCTGTCTGAAAAAAAATGTATACATACACACATACACTTTTTTTTCTTTCTTCAATAATCAATTAACCTTAGGTTACTGTAATTTTTTACTTCATAAACTTTTTAATTTTCTACCTTTTTGACTCTTTTGTAATAACAGCCTAAAACACAACACACAGCTTTCTATTGTACAGCTATACAAAATATTTTCTTTCATTATATCCATATTCCATAAATGTTTTGTTTACTTTTATTTATTTATTACTTTTTAAACTTTATTGTTAAAACTAAGACACAAGCATTCACATTACCCTAGGCCTACACAGGGTCAGGATCATCAATATCACTGTCTTCCTACTTCCACATCCTGTCCTACTGGAAGGTTTTCAGGGACAATAACACTCATGGAGATGTCATCTCCTGTGATAACAATGTCTTCTTCTGAAGAATTTGCCTGAGGCTTTTTTATAGTTAACAATTATTTTTGATAAGCAGAAGGAGTATACTCTAAAATAACATAAGAAGTATAGCACACATATGCACCATGGAATCCTATGCAGCCATAAAAAATGATAAGTTCATGTCCTTTGTAGGGACATGGATGAAATTGGAAATCATCATTCTCAGTAAACTATCGCAAGAACAAAAAACCAAACACCGCATATTCTCACTCATAGGTGGGAATTGAACAATGAGAACACATGGACACAGGAAGGGGAACATCACACTCTGGGGACGGTTGTGGGGTGGGGGGAGGGGGAAGGGATAGCATTAGGAGATATACCTAATGCTAAATGACGAGTTAATGGGTGCAGCACACCAGCATGACACATGTATACATATGTAACTAACCTGCACATTGTGCACATGTACCCTAAAACTTAAAGTGTAATAATAATAATAATAAAAGAAGTATAGCACAGTACCTACATAAATCAGTAATATAGTTGTTTATTATCATTTTCCAGTAATACATACTACACATAATTGTGTATATGTGGTATACTTTTATATGATTGGCAGTGCAGTAGGTTTGTTTACACAAGCATCACTATAAACACGTGAGTAATGGGTCATGCTCCAACATTAGGATGTCTGTGATGTCACTAGAATATGGGAATTTTTCAGCTCCATTATAATTTTATGGGTGTACCATTGTATATGTGGTCCATCTTTGATTGAAACATAATTATATAGCATGTGGCTGTATTCCATTTGAAATTCCATACACATGCCTTTAATTAGTCCTCATCTCAATAGAAAATATATTTGCATACATGTTTCCACTGCATCTACTATTCTCATCATATTTAAATAAGGGCTTAAAATAATACATGTTATTCGAAATCACAATTTGTTCTCCAGCAAGTACAAATTTATTTTTGAATCTGACATGTCTGTCCCTTTGCTCACACTGTTTTCCTCACCCAGAATGTCTGTTGTCATCCTGTGTTTTTCCTTTTCTACCTCAATTCATTTTTTGACCCTGGAACTTTTTAAAGTATGTCTATGACCTTTTAAATCCATTTTGCCTGTTTGATGGCATTTCCAATGCTTGCAGGTTAACTATAGGATTTAGTATTCTTGTATTTATACTATCTTTTTTTCTTTTTAACTGAATTCTAGATTTGCTTTTTAGTTTTTGTTTTTTTTTTTTTTTGCCAGTACCTATAGCTTTTCTGTTTAATTTACTGTCCCATAAGAATAAATCGCCTTGTTCACGAAGATAATTAGTATTTGAGAACTGATTTTTTGTCTTTTACACAATTTATTAAATTAAAAAGTAGGAATTTTGTTGTAAGAAACATGTTAAGTTCTAAAAGTTTGCAGAAGAGATTGGTTGTCTGGAGAATTTACCATAGCCCAGACTCAGGACTTCAGCCAGCCTGGGAAAAACCCAATCTTGCCTGGCTCCCAGATTTAACTAGAATTCAGTTAATAGATTCACTTTGAATTGAAAAAAGCAGGAATATATTAACCAGAATTGAAATAATTAACTACTACTGAGAAATTACTATGTGAGGATTGGATATTTTATCTTCTTTTTTTGTGGTGTCTTCTCCTCTGGAGTATATTCAGTTCACACAGCATAAGTGCCTTCTACAATCGTTACAATTGCTGAATGAACCTCTGTGTTACTGATACAGTCTATCTTTAGCTAAACTAATATTTTATCTCTTTAATTCTAAATTACTAGAATAGTTAGTAACCCCAAAGATTCAGCATTTTTTCTGGTAAAATAAATAAAAAAAGAAAAAGAAAAGTGAAAATACATAACACACACATTTTAAAACATATTCAGGTTATAATAAAAGAAAACTTTTGAAAAAATGTTTGTTTTAGTCTAAGGCAAACATTAATCATTAATCAGCTTTCTCTCAATTCTTGCTGCTGCTTTGATAGTAATGCTCTTTTTTTTAATAACAGAAACTGCACCTTGTCTTTTCTGATGCCCCATGGTTTAACTCATATAGGACAGTCATATTTCAAACTTTTGGAGCCACTTGATTATTCAGCCCTGTTTGTCATCAAACTGTAGCTGATATCATCACAAATAAAATTGTACATAGTTTAAATGATTTATTTTCTCCAGTGGCCTTTGCTAAAAGTTTCTTAATTTTGACTAAAATCATCTGTACTTGCCAGATTTTTTAAAAAAAATATTCTGAAAATAGGCAATGTTGAATCTGCATAGCAGTCTTTTATGTCCAGCAACTATTTTAAGGTTCTGTAATTTTCCATTCATTTAAAAAGAGAAGAGCATTATTTTACGTCACTATTGTTACCTACTTGCCCCATTTGAGTACTTCGTTTGGATAATCTAGTTTATAAAATTTAACTTAATAGGTATTTTTAAATACTTCTTTATAGTTTAATAGATATCTTTGTTTGCAAGTACTGCATACTGGGTTAAAGAGAGCACTGGGTTCAGAATCAATTTATTTAAATGTAAATACTCTCTCAACAATAATGATACTCTTATATATAAAACCTAAGTAAACAGTCCTTCTGGCCTTGATTGCTAAATACAATAAGAAAATCAATTCCACTATGCATCATATTTTAATCAACTTTTTATTAAAACACATTATCAGTGTTCATTTTTCATGTTCTATAGAATGGTACTAGAATATAAGATTCCTGTTTCCAAAATTTAAAGAACTGGATCCTATGAAAAGAGTTTGACTGTATCACTTCTCCTCCCTTGACAATTGTCATTTGCCTTTTGATATAGTTACTTTTCCACTTCCTTGCACTTTTAGCACTAATGCTTTTGCAGGAGAAAAAAAAACAGTTTTTTTTTGAGTAGATGTCTTAGTCCATTTTGTCCTGCTATAATAGAATACCTAAGGCTAGTTCATTTTAAAAAAACATAAATTTATTTTCTTACAGTTCTGGAGTCTGGGAAGTTGAAGATCAAGACCCTGCATTTTGTAAGGGCCTTCTTGCTGCATTCTCACATGGCAGACAGTGGAAAGGCAAAAATGGGACAAAGGTTGTTATTCTCACATGCAAAAGAATGAAAAATAGTGAAATGACTCCCAAAAGCTCCTTTTATAAAGAGATTAATTTATTCATGAAGGCAAAGCTCTCATAACCTAAATATCTTCCAAAAAAAATCTCAGCTCTTAGCACCATTATATTGGGGATTAAGTTTCCAACACATGAATTTTAGAGAGGACACATTCAAACCATAGCAGTTGCTTTTCAAAATTACTTTTTAAAAAATTTGCTTTAAAGGGCAGGAGCGCACTGATCTGTTCTTTATCCAATCAGGGAGTTTCTCGTTTTTGCGTTCCAAATTATGTTTTCTAGTTTTCATTCTTTGTTTTGTAGTTAAAAAGTTTACACTAATTTAACATACTGCAAATATTATAACCCTTACACTTCCGTGTAACATTTTTGCTGTCTTGTAAACACCATACAAATTGTGAAAATTTGGAATGTTTTCAACTGTTACATAATGAAACTATATTATCCACCTATATTTCATATGAATTGAGTAAATAAACCATTTTTATATAAAAAGGAAAATTATCTGAATATACATGCTATTTCTGTGACTTTTTATTATGTGCATGTAGTTAAATCATGTAACCTTGAGAATACATAAATTTGGAAAAATAATTTATATTTATCTCAGTGATAATTGTTGAAATATTTTACAAATTCTAGAGGTATATGTATTTTTTAAAAAAATTCTGTTATATATTTCTCTTTTAATCCAGTTCATGCCATTTCTTATTCTTCTAGGAACTTTTTCAATCTGTATATTTATTTTGCATATGTAAGAATTTTGCAATGACATATTACTAAAGCATGTTTTCTGATAGTGCAAGGAAAGCATGATGTTTGATTATTATCAGCTGTGTTCTGAGGATCAATTTAGATTTAGGGCAGTGATGTAGCAGATAAACGAATGTCCTCATCACTGACTTTATTAACAGAACTATTCTATAGGTTTGTCTCTAACACATTTGGATCCTTCTTTAATCAGCAAAACAAAATATCAATACTTCAGTCATTTGTCAAAGAATTCAATATTGGACTGACTTTGAATCATTACTTGCCAAAGGCTTAACTGAGTCACTTGATAGTTAGCTCTGTCACACATGTTAAGTACACATTTCATTAGGTTCTATACTGTCTGAAAGCACTGAGTAATATAAAGGAACCACTTGATTTCAGTTCCATGAGAAATGCTTTCATCATCACCACTCTCTAACACATACACAAGTCAGATTAAATCAAGGTCACTCCAGGGAAAAAGAAAGTAGGAAGGAGAGGTATTCTGTGCTTTGCAATTATCTGATTTACTTTCAAAACATCTTTTTGAGTTAGGTATTAGTATGCTCATTTTACAAATGAGGAAATTAAGACTCTTGAGATATTAAAAATGGTACACACATCACATGAGTTATAATAGGCAGAGTGTCCAAAAAAATGCATATACCCCAATCCCCGGAACCTGTAAATACGTTACATAACAAAAGGGGCTTTGCAGATATAATTTAGATTATATACCTTAAGAGATCAAGATTATACTCAATTTTGCTGATGAAAATAATCTAATGTGGTGAACTCTGAAAAGCAGAAACCATTCTTTCTGGCTGAAGTCAGGAGAGATGAAATATAGGAGGAGTCAAACAGATCTGAAGCATGTATCATTATATCATGGCACTCATATATGCTTTATTGGCACTTAGCATATTCTTTAACATATTGTAATTATTATGTTTCATAATTTTATCTTTCTTTCTAAAATTAAAATGATTTAGTGGAAAAGGGACCACCTTATTCAAAACTTTATGATCTGTAGTGTTAAATAAATTTTCAGATATAGTAGATACAAATTTTTTAAGTTGCTTTTTTGCAAAGAATCCCTATAATATCCTTTTGAAGGTCCTAAGAAAGCTTTTGCAATACTTTTTAAAATGTTATTATCAATTATGTAATAATAATTTCATATTTGTTTATATATACATATATACAAATACATACATGTATTTTTATATATACACATACACACACAAATATATAAAAAGAGCAAGAGAGACAGAGAAAAACAGAGAGAAATGGAGGGAGACAGAGTGAGACCATGAAGCTCCCAGATCAGAGAAACAGTTCATTACTGACAGAGTAGAATCTCATGTCAGGTCGCCATGCTATGAATCCCTACAGGGTGACATGAGTGAGAATCATATTTTACCTCTCATGCAGTTAGTTTACATCATAGGAAAGTAAATACAAAATTATGAGACTAAGAACTTACACAAGTGCTTATAACACATTTGCCCAACCCTCTGAAGAGACAAACTTAACACTGGAACATAAACTCTTCCAGGAGAGGAAGGAAATATTTATCCTTATTTATTATTATCTTGGAATGGAAGCAGATCTCTCTGGGAAGGCAAATCTCTAAACCTCTACCTTCCCAGGTCTTTGCTATTCAAACATTTTTTTAATTATTATTAAAAGGCTTGGACCATGCAGACTCATGATATTCATGAAATATTCATGGAGAATTCTCTTTGAGTACACAATCATCCTGGAAATTAGTAAACATGTCCAGTGAGTGCATGCTGAACTATCAAATCTGGTCAACATATCTATTTTCTACCCGTGTATTATTTTTAAAGTTCAAGAACTCTTTCAGATCTCCATATCTAGGTTTAATATTCACTTTAGATTTCTAACATACAAATTTTATAGACAACAACCTCATTATCATGTGATAATTAATATAAAAATTAATTACACGTAATAAACATTTGTATTACTGCTAGGCTTAGGAAAAAACTTCAGAACTACAATGTTGGGAGTTCTGAGGGACTTTCTGCCCTATTCAAATCCACCTTTGTCCCAGCTACAATTTGGTCCCTATCTGGAAGTGGTATATACTCCAAGTTAAATATTGGCATAAATAACTGTGGGGCAATGGCCGGTCAAGAATTCCAGAAAGTAATTTTAAGACTCTCTCAGGTGGTGGATACCTGTGTTATTGTCATTGACTCTGCAGGGCTCAGGACAGGCAGTGTTAAACAGTCATCTTCAGAATTTCTGAAATGGTATTTTTCCCTGCCCTTAAAAATCTCCCTTCTACCTCCAGAATCCCCAAAACTAAAATAAGTTAAGAAATTTAATTTGCCCATATCAGATAGAACTACCAGATAGACAGAAATTATATATATAATAAATACCGTATATATTATATATGTATTATAATATAAATATGTGTGTGCATGCATGTGTGCGTGTGTGTGTGTATACATATACTGTATGGGAGTGTTAAAAGAAAAACTTTACCCAAATTAAATTTAAAAGAGTTTAATTGAGCAAAGAACAATTTGCTAATCAGGCAGCCTCCTGAGCCAGAATGGGCTCAGTGACTCCAGTGCAACCACGTGGTGGAAGATTTATGAACAGAAAAAGGAAAGTGACATACAGAAGATGGAAGTGAGGTACAGGAAAACCAGTTTGTTTACAGCTCAGTATTTGCCTTATTTGAACATGGTTTGAACAGTTGGCCACCTGTGATTGACCAAAACTCAATGATTGGCAGAAGAGTAGGCTACAGTCTGTTTACAACTCCATTTAGGTTATAGTTCATGAGGTACAGAGAAACCTTTAGGCTGAACTTACAATGGTGGCAGCTTAAGGTTAAGCTTCATTTAATGGAACTACATACATACTTATATATGTGTGCATTTATAGTATATATATATATATATATATATATACACAAATTACATACTGTATATGTACTACAGAAAGAGACATCTATTTCAAGGAATTGGATTGCATGATTGTGGGAGCTGGCAAGTCAGAAATTTGCAGGGAAGGTGGTCTTGGCCAGGAGCTGACACTGTACTTAGTCTTGAGGCAGAATTTCTTCTTCCTCATAGAAATCTGTTTTGTTGTTAAGGCTTGTCAACTGATTAGACGAGGCACATTCACATGATTAAGGATAAACTCCTTTACTTAAAGTCAACTGATTGTAGATCTAAAAACACCTACACACTAAGACCCAGGTTATTGTGTGACTAAATAACTGAATAGGATGGCCTAGCCACGTTGACACCTAAAAGCAATCATACCACCCCAGTTTGTGAATGAAGTCTGGGTAGAAGACCTAATTCACAGTCAATTCATTTTATATCTAAATTCTCTATATTGTGATGTTATACTATTTTTGCTGTGATTATATAGTTTATGCTGTTGAAAACAATGGGAGCAGCTGACCCCGTATGCCTCTTCGCTTTTCGTGTGCTTTTTTCTACACCTAGGTTTATGCATATGGCCCAAAAAATTATACATCTGCCAAGCGAGAAACATAACAGGAGGATATTTAACTCCATTAAAAACTGAATGTTCATTATTATTTATAAATCATATATCCTTAAATGCAATTCAACATACATGACGAAAGGTGACAAATGTATACATACCTAATATTTCTGGAGTATAGTCAAGACAAGTAACGATTAGAAGACTAATCCTTAGAATAACTCTATGCTATTTATTTAGACAACATTTTACACTTTTAAAAAACATTATTTTTCTTTCATTGACAAATAACATACTATTTAAAGTGGAAAATTCAGAATTTTTAGAGTCACTCAAAAGCTTTGAACATGCAAACCTATCAGAGATCACACAATATTTTCCTAGCATAAATCGTTTCATATTATTTTTAGGATTTGTATATTTGAAATATAATAGTGAATAATTTTATTAGCATATACTCTACTTTTACTTAAAATTATGAAACATAGTATTTATTTCAGAGAAGACTTGTTAAAACTCAAATTAATATCTTTTTATATAACTCATAGTCTTCCTTTTTCTTTGTACTGCTAATTTTAATAGTTCAAATATAATCTCCTCATTTATCACAGTCTCTTATTCCCTTAATATTATTAATTGTTAGAAGTAATCATCCCCAAAGATTTAGTTAATTTTTCATTTTATAATTTTATCTAAAGCCTGATTGTTAACCATAAAATTAAGCATATATCATCTCTCAGAAATAGTCCACAGCAAGGTTAGAATGTGCATATTTAAATTGTGATACACTACTAATCTATGAAAGTTACAATTTGTAATAATCATACAAAAGCCAATGATGTATAGAGACTGATTTTCGTTTCCTTTATTTTATCAAATAAACAATCAGACCTTATCAGAATTTGGAAAAATAATAAAGAATATGTTTCTCACTTCTGGGAAAAGCACACCAAGGACAATAGAGATGAATGAAATTTTAAATATCAATTACCTTATTATATACGATTTCAATGTAAAAAAGCCTTGAAACATTGTTCTTCTCACTCTCAAAACAAGATTATATTAAAAATGCTGATATAGTGTTTTTTCAAAAATACCGATGAACTCCTGTCATAACACAAGAGATCTCCAGTGGCATTTAACTCAGTAAAATAACTAAAAACCTCCTACCGACTGCAATGATAGCACCTCCTCAGCGGGTGACTTTTCACCCCTTCTTGAGCTCTGAGAATTATTCTGTCAAGAAACAAATGACAGAGACATACATATACTTGGCTGTTGTAACTGACAACAAATATCTCATTGCCTGTTTTTTTTTTTTATTGCTTTTCCTGTTGTAGAAAACAGCACTTGAGAATACAATTGAAAGATAATCTGTCCTATCATTAGAATGTGTTTTCAATTTCTAGAATTATTAATCTATTTGTAAATATCTACACAGGATCTAATCCCCTAATTTACATGCTATTCATAGATAAAGTTGGTAAAAGGAGGATAGGATGGCTACAGCACACAGAATGGAAAGAAGAACGGAGGCTGCAAAATCTACCTGATTCCCTTTATGCTTTTCTCTGAATGCCTTTCCTTTTCAAATTCAGAATACCTGACGTAAGTGCCCATTCTGTAATGTAAATTTATAAGTTAAACACTTATCTTCTCTTCTTAAAATCCAGAGAGTTAATAAATTTTTGTCTTGGGTCATGTTCCCCAGAAGTAAACCCTGAGACAAAGATTCCTATGGAAATCATCTATGCAGAATGTACTTCCAGGAGAAACCATAAGAGTGCAGGATATAGGACAAGCAAGTTGAAGCAATAGTAGCAAATCAGTAAACATTTGATACAAAAAAGCCACACCAAAATCTAATAATTTTAAATAAAAGTCATTTATTAGTCTATGATTTCCAGGGTTAGCAATTTGGGCTGGGCTCAGTGAGTGGTTGTTTTGCTGGGCTCCATCAGACTGTAGTTAGCTGCAGTCTGGTTAATCTAGGGTGGGCTTACTCACATGTCTGACCTTTGGTCTTGGCTCCTGGCTTAGGTGCTGGGACCATTTGTCTCCAGCAGATTAGTTTAGCCTTAGTCACAAGGTAATGGTTATAAGGTCCTCAAGAGGAATGAGAGAGGACAGGCCACAAAGTACAAGCACTGTTGAAGCTTCTGTCTGCATCATGTCTGCTAGTGTCTCCTAGTCAAAGCAAGTTTTATAACTCCCCAATTGGTTCACCTTGTCCACTGGCTAGATAGAGCTGATTTATCAAGAAAGAGAATTGCATGGAAAAAGAGTAATTCATGCAGAGCCAGCTGTGCAGGAGAATTGGAGTTTTATTAGTACTCAAATCAGTCTCCCCGAGAATTCAGGGATCATAGTTTTTAATATAATTTGCCAAGTAAGGACTTGGGAAGTAGGGAGTGCTGATTGGTCAGGTTGGAGACGGAATCATAGGGAGTTGAAGTGAGTTTTTCTTGCCATCTTCTGTTCCTGGATGAGATGGCAGAACTGGCTGAGCCACAGTAGATCTGGTGGTGTCAGCTGATCTATAAAGTGCAGGATCTGCAAAATATCTCAAGCACTGATCTTAGGTTTTGCAATAGTGATGTTATCCCCAGGACCAATTTGGGGAGGTTCAGACTCTTGGAGCCAGAGGCTGCATGACCCCTATACAGGAATTTCTGATCTTTCAGCTAATTTGTTAGTCCTGCAAAGGCAGACTGGTCCCCTGGCAAGAAGAGAGTATTTTCAGGAATGCTGTTATCGATTTCGTTTCAGAGTTAAACCATGAACTAAATTCCTTCCCAAAGTTCATTCGGCCTATGCCCAGGAATGAGCAAGGACGGCTTAAAGGTTATCAGCAAGATGGAGTCAGTTAGATCTGATTTCTTTCACTGTCATAATTTCCTCAGTTATAATTTTGCACAGGCGGTTTCACTTTCATAGTCAAACCACAGTCAATGTATGTAGGGATTATCCAAGGGCATAAATAAGGAAGAAGCAAATCATTTTGGGTCATTATTTCAACAATCTACCACAAGCAAAGAGCCACAAAAGGTAGCATTGACCTGAGCCAAAGGGAAATCTTAAATTTAAGTAATAGATCAGTTATGTACTGTCCTTATGCAAGTGAACTTGGCTTTCAAATTCCTGTACCAGGTAAGCACTGGTCCAGGGTGCTCTTATTATAGTAGGTAGTTAGGCCAACATGAGCAGGAGTGGAGAGGTACCCCCGCCCCCTTTACAGGAATGTTTGGCAACCACTGGGTGATGGTCAGGCAGTTGTTAAACTGTCTCTCTAAAATAATAATTGGTTGCTGCCGGTGCTAGGCAAAGGCAGTCTCCCAATAGGTAGAAAAC
This sequence comes from Homo sapiens, assembly GCF_000001405.40. NCBI lineage: Eukaryota > Metazoa > Chordata > Mammalia > Primates > Hominidae > Homo > Homo sapiens. The sequence goes on from NC_000004.12 coordinate 130,335,713, forward strand.
ATGTGATGCTGGCGATAAGCAGCTTCTAGATAAGATCTCAGGAGTTGGGCAAGTGGGCTCAAGCATGAGCATTAAGAGGCAAAATGGCAGAGTTTAAGTGGTATATGACCTTTCTCTAGGAACACTCGACTGGTAAGGGAAAAATGCCACAGATGGGCATGTGCACAACTTCAGTAAACACACTGTGCATGCAGCCCCTCCAAAGTCCTGGCAGGCCACTGCGCATGTGGCAGCCCATAGCAAGGAAAAATCAAGGGGAGGGGGGTGATGCAAGATCCTGGAAGCATGCCAATGTGTCAATCCCCAAGTCAAAGGTAAAACCAGGCACTTAGATCTCTCAAGTTGCCCACTTGACCCTCTTCTAAGTGCACTTTACTTCCTTTCATTCCTGCTCTAAAAGTTGTCTCATTCTCTCCTTATTCCTTATGATCTTCAGTTGAGTTCTTTCCTCTGAAGAGGCAAGAAATGAGTTGCTGTAGACTCATAAGGATTCACTGCTGCTAACACTATCTCCAGGCACTTGCAGCTAACTTCTAGAACTGACAACATGGGTCCTCAGGTGCTGGCTTTTGTAAGTGAAGGCACACATTATATGCAAAGTGAGCTATTTAAGGAAGGAGGGAGGGACTCAAAGAACAAGGTGTCTGCAGGAATCTGGACTGAGAACCAATATTGTCTGCTACAGTATCCTCTTGCATTGCTCAGATTCAATGTTTTTGGTTTGAGGATTAGTTGACATGGAGTTTTCATGATGTTGATATTCCAGGAGAAGCATAACAATAGAAGAATTATTAGAATGAGTTTCACAAATGGTACTTAGCAAAACTTGTGTTAAGCATCTCTTTCCTCCACAACCTAGTCTAGATCACTCTTTCCCACAGCTATTCTTTCTGCAGGTCCATATGACTTACTTGGTGGTAATGACGGCCCAGGCCTTCATTTCTTAGGAATATGTGCTCTTTACTATCTTTCTTAGGTAGATTGTGGTAATTGCTCATACACAGTTAAAACTGGATATGCCAGTACTAAGAAATGTCCTTGAATTATAAACATATTCTCCCTTCCTCCATTAGGTAGCAGCACACCTACCTTCTCATGAGGATTAGTGTCAATTCTCCCTGCCAGTGTGGCAACTCTTTACTTTGCCTATTATTTTCCACAAGATTTAAGCACAATATGATAAGGTAGTAGCTGTAGTCTTTGGCTTAGTGGGATCTTTATAGCGTCTCCTGATGAATGTATCTTCTCTCTGGAAACTGCGATCTTTAGACGAAAAGAACTGTAAGATTTGAAAGCAGACACCATTGATTCCCCTAGCAGGGTCACTGGGAGTGATAATAAGCAGGACCACTCGTTGCACTCCTTGCCTCCCAGATATCTATCTGTCATCAATCATTGTCACAGGTCCTATGATGTTTAGTTCAAAGTATACATCACATCTTGAAAGGCAGAACCTCATTAATACACATGATTATCTCCAAGCTGATGCCTTTAGCTACACCTTTAAGAGGAAATTTCAGTACTCTAAAAGGATGCAGCCTCTGGTGATGCTACATGTGATAGTACCAATGAATCCATAGTAACATGCCCATAGTTGCTCTCTTCCATCTTAAATTGAGCTCCTTTGTCTAAATGATGCTAGGTATAGTCTCTTGTTGGTAAATCAGGCAGCCTGTGAGCCCACAGACAATGATTTGGCCAAGACCGTGTGAGCAAAACTATTGTTGAATTTCCTTAGGAAAACTCTGATCTATTGAGTGTTATCAAGATTTCTGTGGGACAGTTTCTCTAGCTGTCACTCTGAACTGGCTGCAGATTAGAGTAATTAAATCTGTCATTATTTTTGAGACTAGAGAGCCCAGTAGCACAACATTGTCTCCTACTGTCAGCACCAACTTAGAGAAAACAGCCACTTACTGGGCTGCTCTTTGATACATTCCTTATCATCTTTGAAAATAAAATGTCTTCTGGCTCTCTTAAGGACCCTGATCATCAGGGGAGAAGATTTTGGATTTTACATAACAGAGTCACTCTATAAAGTCTACTTATGTGAGCCTTGGGAATCCCTTCTCAACATTCTATCAAGGCAAATCTGACATCTCCATTTTATTTAATACATACCATCATTGTTTCCAAGCGTCACAGAGCCATCCCCTCAGCATATTAGGATCTGATCCAGATGCCTATTCCAGTGTATTAAATCCTGAGTCGTGGATTTACTCCCACATAAAACCTCTCCCTTTCTCCCTTACTCAGCTTCACAGTCTTCTTTTACTGAACTAGATCTCTCAAGATCTGTCCCCAGTATGATTGACAGTTTCTATTGGTCATAAAACTTTGTTTTGTAGCTTCTTTGGAGATTAATTCCTTTTTGATCTTTGTAGGAGCAACATTCAATTGGATCATGCTCAGACTTAATGGCAAGGGCACTGTAATCTTTTAGCAGAAGCAAAATATGCTAATCTGTATGTTTGGTTCCCAGAATGTTAAGAAGAAACTTGAGATTCAATGTTCTTAAGAAAATACACCAAAATGTCCCTATCTCAAGTTTCAGGAGACTTACACAGCCTGCAAATTTAGCCTTCCCTAAGGTTCTTCTAGTTTTACATTAGTTCTGGGCTTGGCCTTGAAACAGCTTGCTCTCTGGCTCTGAGATAAAGGGGTTCTAACTTCTATATTGTGCCTTAAATTGCTGAGTGATTGAATTGAATTTGCCATTTTTTTTGCTTCAATAGAATTCAGCAAAAATCAATTTCTCACTTTTTATAACTATTATCTCCCCCATGTATCTCAACTGCTAGAGAGATCATGAGTTAGTGCATCCTCTTCTACCTGTATTCCATTCCACTTCGCCACAGGTGAAAGTCTTACCAGCACTGTCAGCATGTCAGAGATTATCCATATTCCATTTATCACCACAATCAGTCCTTGCTACCATCTAGCCTGTGAGAGATTGCACTTCAGAATCCTATCTTTAGGACCTGCTTTTTAGGATCACTACTGGTTTAAGTCAAGTTTCCCAGAAGCTGACCTAAGACAAATATTCACAGGCAAATGATACATTAAGAAAGTGTTCCCAGGGGATGCTGATTGGTAAGGTTGGGGAAGCAGGAGAGAGAGTGAGAAAATGACCAGCAAGGGTGCAATCTCAGGCAAAATTTAACAGGGATTAGCTTCAACCTGAACCCACAGTGGACCCTGAACTGTGAGTATGACTCAGAGTTCCCCACTCCAAGTCAAGGATGTTGGACTTTTCTACTCCTAAATTCATTGAATTGCATGCCAAGGGGGACACAAACTGCGAACACTTCCAGCTCTTTCATCTGTGGAGAAAGTTACCAAGGTAACCCAAGGGCAGACCTCCAAAAAAGAGCCTGCAGTTGATAGCTGTTGAAAGCAAACATCAACCAAAGCCTAAGTAAGGAGGGTGATGTTGAGCTGCCTGGTGGCCTAGAAGTTCATAGTGTGGTAAAAATGGATTGTCATTCCCTAATAATGTCTTAAAGAATACAAGGGCATCTCCTGTATTCCAAGTGGGAATTTATAATGCACTTGCTCATAGAAATGATATTTTAACTATTTTAAATAGAATGGGTCTAGTACTACAATTCCACATTAGCATAACATATTTGAAAAATTTGTAAACTGTTAGGAAGTACAAAATGTTATAATAATACTAATTAATATTTCTTAATTCATTATGAATGTTTCTGATGTTTGGCACAGTTACACAGCCACATTTTAAAACATTGTTTCTAAGGGAAAATGTGTTGCAAATTCTCAACCAATAATTTAGAAAAGTAAATTAACTCAACCCATTCTATTATGTTGTCTTGCTGTCAACAGATAATTTATTCTGCTATTAACCTTCACTGGTTCCAGTCAACTGACTTAAAATTGTTGGTACAACAGATTTGGCATCTTTCTTTACTAATAAAAAATTATTTTTAATAATCCTTTAAAACATATCTCATATTCTTATATACAAATATCTTTACAAACATCTTAAGAAATTCATAATTTGAGCACCTTAAAAAACACTCATTTGATTATTTCCCCCACATTCAATATTCATATTATCAAGAGGGACTACATCAAAATATCATTACTTATGCTTTTGTTTTCAATACAAGTTACATACTTATGTTTGAGAGACACAAAACCAGTATGACAACAAGACAGACCATGATTGAGAGTGTAGCACAGAGAAAAGATCATGGCTTTAAAAATTAAATAGTAAATTGTCCACACTCTTCGACCATATTTTCTCTTTTGCAAAATAAAATAATAATAGATATGCCATACCATTGTGTAGAAGAGTTATTGAGTGTATCTATATAAAGAATATGGTATGATAATTGATGCATATTATATACTCAGCATATGAAGCTCTTGTTATTGATTTAAGGCCTATACAAACTACTCATCACTCCAAGCTGTAGAAATCTGAGTCCATCGTCAACAAAAAAAGCCCTATTTTCCCAAGATAAATATTGAATGAAGTGTAGGGTCACATTGACAAAGCTTTTCATCTTACTGTTGAGATGATGTGAAATACACCACCATTTTTTACCACATATCGAGGTGATCATATATCTCAGCAGTATTTAGTTTGCAATAATAGGAAAAACAGTGCCTTGTCATGGATTGCCTATGACATTTAAAAAACTTCCTATCATTCATTCCCCTTGTCCCCTTATCTCTTTCTCTTACCAAAATTTGTATTAGTTTTCTATTGCTGTGTAATAAATTACCACAAACTTAGTAGCTTAATTAGAAATGCCCATTTATTAGCTCACAGTTCTGAAGCACAGATTCTAATCAGAGATTCATACTAGGTTCTCATACTCAGTGTGTCCTTGGCCAGGCTGCATTCTACTGGAAGCTCTAGGAAAGAATCTGCTTACAGGGTTATTGGGGGTGTTAATATTCACAACCTTTATTTTATTATTCATTTCCTTGTAGTTTTAAGGCTGAGTTTCTCATTTCCTTGAGGGTTGTCAGCCTGGAGCACTTTTAGCAGATAGAAGCTGACTAGACTCCTGACACATGACCTCCTCCATCTTGAAAACCAGCAATCAAGAATCTCTCTCATGTTGATTCCCTGCAAATGTTTCTAATGTCTCTGATTTTGGACCATCATTTATATAATGGGATAAGAGTCTGTGCTGTGGGCTTGCTTTCAAGAGATTTGGGAATAGGGTAGATGTATATTATATTAGTTAAAAAATAAGTTTACAGTTGTAGAGTCCTGGACTTGAAGCTGTCTATGTGAGAGTGATTAAGCCTCTGTGGCTCCATTTCCTGGGGCTTAAAAATGGGAAAATACTCTTTCATCAAACGTAATAATTAAGCATATGTTTTACCACTAAGAAAAATAATGATCAAACTATGACATTACATAAATTTTAAGATACACCCCAAATTTTAAGATATTAAAATGTCAAAAAAGTCATTCCATGAATCAGTCAAATAAAGTAATATATATCCCATATGGCTAGCCTAAGGAATAATTTACATAATGTCTGTAGACTGTTTAATTCTGTTTTTGGGGCATAGTGTTACATTTTGTGAAATGTAGCTATTAACTGTTTTCTTATGAGCCTGGTTGCTATGTTCTTGGTCTACGACAGATCGTTTTCTCAAGAAGGGAAGGAGAAAATTTCATTTTATCTTCTTTCCCATTTGACAGATACTATTGTGACTAAGATTTTGAAGTGCAGTAGAGCCATGCTCCTGCCATGATAGAGTAGTGACTAGCAGTGAGAGAAAAAGCATTGACCTGGAATGTTGCATTGTAACTTTTCCTACGGCTCTCCAAACTTGCTGCCTCTTTTCTCCTCATTGGAAAGGCATGTGCTTTCTTAATACAGGCTAATAGATAGATGCACTTTCTACAGCTGTGCAGTTGCCTGGTCCTTCTGCCTCATACAGGGAGAGGGCTGTAGAGTCAGGGCTATTGTTTTAAAGGATGTATCACCTTAACATGGTACAAATGGCCATGGGAGCTTTATTATCCAGTAACCACCGAGCAGGCTATGAATTCAAGCATATGCATGTAATCTTCAGCAATCTCTCAGATGAACTGAAAGGAGTATGTGAAGCCTTGTTTTTAAAAAGCATGCTATAGAACTGGAGGTTTATGTTACTAAAATCATTTGATGAGGAATTATAATATTAGCTATATAGCTAGATCAATGCTTAATTCCTGATTGTGTATGTGTATTAATGAGGGATTAAACATTGATCTAGCTATATATCTAATATTATAATTTCTTATCTGATAATTTTAGTGTGTGCGTGTGTGTGTGCATGTATGTAATATACACATTGAATGGCAGTTTAAAATAAAAATAATTTAACCTATTTTTTTTCTTCTGGGCCTTTACAATTTAAAAATTGAAACTTTTAAATTCATGTTCCACTTCTATGATCCTCATTGCATCACACGGATGGTATGCAATATTATATGGCACAGAAAAAACAAATTTATTTTAGCTTTTCTTTTTATGCTATAATTCCTACAGCATATAATTTTTCTTTCTACCTAAATAGGTAGCCATGAGTCTTAAAATAAGTGTCCCTATTGTGATTTTAGATGTGTCTTTCCCCCACTGTGGGGGCATTTAGGCAAGTTCTACTCTCATTTTTATCAAAATGATTTGAATTATTTCTTAAAAGTGGGTTCAAACTGATGGCAGGCAGATGGGAGTGCCAGTTTTTATCTATATCACATTTGGATGTGGAGGATTTCAGGTACAAATCTGTGACTCATCTTATTCAAGGGAAAGATGATTAAACCAGAATATTGTGGTCTCTTCCATTTTACTGAGCACAATTACTGACTCCAGACCTCAGAAAAGAGAGAAAACCTAATTTCCTGGATTTGCACCTCTTTGTGCTGGGCCATTCTGACACTTTGCTGGCAGCATTTGCTTGAGCTCTTTGGATTTCTAAGGCAAACTTTGGGGATGCTTTTATAAGTGCCACTTATCTTTTTCCCACTCTACCTTTACTTCTTTTAAAATATTGCATTTTCTTATTTATACTCATAAAGTTTAGCACTGAATCAAATGTTAAAGTGTCCTTTAACATTTTTCACAAATATTCGTTATTATATCATTTTTTTCCTACTGGCTTTCAGTAGGACCCAGAACTACAAAGTACATTTCACATAACTTTGCACTGAAGCAAAGACAGATTTCTTACTCTCGTTATTTCTGCTTTGATTACTTTTCTACCAAGAAAAGCAGCCCACTTAATTCACTTTCGGCAAACTTTGGAAACTATACCTACTCAAGTTGTACTGAAACAAAGGAAGTATTCTGTATACGATCAGCTCTTTTAAATGAAGTTGATCACAAAAAATAAACCTGACGGGAAAACCTGACAGCAATTACTTTCAGTAAATCAATTACTATTAGAGATCTTACCTGTAGAGCAAGAGCCCTCAACTCCATTAGAAGTGGCTGTTTACACATAGACTGTCATTGACAGGTTATTTCTGCTTTAGATTATGACTTTTCTTCTTACCATTAAAATTATATAAATGGTGAAAATACATCACCCCAAATATTAATATAATTTTAGGTAATTTTAAAATAACAGTGGGGATCACTGAATTGAAGTTTATTAAAAATACACCTCCTGCACATTTTATATTTTGAATACTACATATTTTTGACACACATAAAACTAAGAAAATGTACTTTATTTCTGGAGAGGCACAATATTTATCTGCCTACATTTAGGTGGTTTAAAACAGATAACTGAGAAACCATTTTATGCATTTAGATCAATTTGGCCTATCAACATGTAATTAACATTATTTGAAAATATTATACTCTTTCTATAAAATTGCTTGTAGATACGATGGACTTAAGAAGAATGTGTTATGCATCCAAAAGCTTCCAGTAAATGTTGGTAATTGCATATATAGAGAGATTTTATACAGGGTCTTGCTGTGTCGCCCAGGCTGGAGTATAGTGGCATGATCACAGCTCACTGCAGCTTTGAACCCCCTCAGGCTCAGCCCACCTCAGCCTTCCTAGTAGCTGAGACCATAGATGCATGCCACCAGACCCAGGTAATTTTTAAATATTTTGTAGAGACAGAGTCTCGTCATGTTGCCCAGACTGGTCTCCAACTCCTTGGCTGAAGTGTTCCTCCTGCCTCTTCAGCCGCCCAAAGTACTGGGATTACAGATGTGAGCCATCATGATCTGCCCTAGATATATAATTTTAATAACAATCTCTATAGTAAGTAAAAATATATCCCTATCAGAGTTGTTGAAATAATCGCCTAAAGCTAATGTAAATTTCCTATACTGTACCTAAATATTTCTCTAGCTAGAAGGAAAAAAAAGCAGATTTATATTCTCTATTCATAAAATTTTAAATCATAAATCTTTGGAAGGGTTTACAAAGTACTTTAATGTACATTATCTCCTTTGAATTATCTTGAGAATTGTGATTATGTATAAAATTTCATAATCTTGTCATTTGCCCTTATAAATGAGTGAGTGCCTACCGTGTCTCATACTGTTCTAAGCACTGTGGAACAGCTGTGAAAAAGACAGTGTTCCTGTTCTAATGAGGCCGAAGTGGTGGTGACAGATATAAATAATAAACACATGCAAACTACAAAGAAACCCAAAAAACAAAATAATGTCAAGATACAGAATAACTTTATGTCTGCTTCAGATTGAGTGTTCACCAAATGATACTCTGGGGAGACATTCAATCATAAATCTTAAAATTGAAACAGAAATTTGAGATCTTGAAGAACAAATTTAAACAGAGAAGAAATAAAAATAAAATAAAAATGAAGATATTTTATAAATAAATTGTTAGCATTAGGCCAAAAAATACTAAAATGTTAGAGCTGAAAATGTCCTTAGAAATCATCCAGCCCATATTCTTTAAAGGGTAGTAACTGAGAAAAGGGAAAAGTGTGCCCAGATCCCAGGTTTGAGCTTGCTAAACCAGAAGCCTTCAGAACATTTCTAGCCTGCACACAAATGCCCAGGTGATGCATATCTTCTTCAGGCAACCTAGGCTTTATTTCATTTCTGTCTACCTTTTCAATAACATGTTAGAATATAAAGTTAAGATAAGTTCCCTTTTATGGATATCCACGCTTGTATATCAAATATACAAAACCACAAAAACCCATGCTAATAATAAAGCATATTTCATAAATGATGATTAATCATTTAGGAAACATGCTTTATCTAATATTAGAAACAAATTATTGGTAAATGTTATGGCATATCATATTTCAAGTGATATAAAAGCAGAATTTTTTTTCTTTTTGCTATGTTTTGTTCACAGCTGTTTCTCCAGCACCTAGAACGGTGTCTGGCACTGAGTAATGCTCTGTAAATATTTAGATGAAATTATATATGAAATGTGGTGTAGCATCACATTGCAACAAGGTTGAGGACCATGGCTCCAAACTAAGCCAGAAACTAGGTTAGAGACACTTATTTTGTAAATGTGTGAAGAAGATTTCTTGGCAAAATAATTATAAAATACATTGGTGATTGCCTCCTTGTTTGCCAAATTATTTTTGAAATGATTGAGGTGTTTTCCACGGGGACATTACTTTCAGGAAAAGAATTTGTTATGTTTCTGAATACTTAGCCTTTTCTGAATAGTTTACTGGGACAGAATCAAAGCATAAGCCTTGGAAGCTACTGAATAGATAGCGAGAGACCATCTGGAGAAATGTACCTATCCAGAGGTATTTGTTTACATTTCAATCAGGGAAGAAACCCAAGATCTACAGACATATTTCAGGGTTTATAAACTCTGAGAAGCTCCTCTTATATTCCCTCTGGAGACATTTACTTATATTCCAAAGGATAATATACTAGTATTTGTTTCCCTTCTCTTCCAAAGAAGAATTTGTTTATATTAGGAAGCAAAGGTTTCTGTCCCTTTCTCAGGAGTAGAAGAGGAATGGGCAGCTCTAACCTCATAAACTCTCCATTTAGAATTTCAAGGTTCCTCTCCTATGGTGTGACCTGCCCATATACAAGGCAGTCCATCTGGCTGTAATCACATCACCCCAGAAATTGAACATGTAGGGCAAGGAGAATGGATGTAGTTCTTGTCTAAGTAATAATTAATCTTTTTCTGTCCCAGAAGTCTTCAGAAGTCATGCATATACTTTCAGGATGATATAAATAAGTATAGACATTAAACACTTGGCAGCTACTGCATTAGCACCAACAATGTAGCCGTGTTTGACATACATAAGCAACAATATTTAAGACTCTTTATCGTAGCTATCTATCAATGGAATTGGGCTGCTGAACAGTTGAGTGGAGGGAGCCTGATCCTCATGCTTCATGCTTCTCCACTTCTGTTTTCCTGCCTCCACACACATCTTAAGGGAGAAGGAGCAGAAACCAGACAAACAAGTTGGAGAGAACACTGACATCTCACACTTGGTAAAAGCAAAACTTACAGGTGATGCACAGTGGAAAGCAACATGTTTTCACCCCCTCCTTCAGTCTGGATGCATTTTGAACATCAATAGAAAGATCCAGGGTTTGCAACTTGCACCGGAATTCCTCCAAACAGAGGTGTGGACTGGGTAGTAATGGTGGTTCCCATTGTAATTTATCCATACACTCAGCACAGAAATACCTCTGTGCTTTAGCTATTATAACCGAGACTACCTCTGTTTTCTAGGACATGGAATATTCATAAAGTTAATATTTGGTATAAATCTAAACACTTTTTCCTCATTTCTACTTGCATCTAAAAATATACTATTCAAATTTTGTGCAGTGACTCACCATAATCTATACCAGAATCCAACTGAAAAATTACCTATGATCTATCATTTTTTTAAAATGATACTAAACTGAAAACTAAGAATTTTAAAAATTTAAACTATGGTCATAGAGAATTTTAAAAATCTGAATTAAAAGTGAAGCTTCTTTTCAAAAAAAGTGTCTATTTTATAGACATATAATAGATATGTATTTTGTATGTGTATAAATATATATACACAAATATATAAATACAAATAATTCTAAATATAAATATAGGAACTGACTACTTCATCCAGGAGAACTTATTAAAGTGTTAATTACCTGGAAATGAATTTATGCATTTAATGAATATCAATTGCAATCCCAAAGGAGATTTTTGAATGACATAAATTATCTCCAAAGTTACTTTTTTTTTTTTTTTTTAAAACAGAGTCTTATTCTGTTGCCCAGGCTGGAGGCAGTGCCATGATCTCAGGTCATTGCAACCTCCATCTCCCAGGTTCAAGTGATCCTTCTGCCTCAGCCTCCCAAGTATCTGGGAGTGCAGTCATGCACCACCACACCCAGCTAATTTTTATATTTTTAGCAGAGTTGACGTTTTGCCATGTTGGCCAGGCTGGCCTCGAACTCCTGACCCCAGGTGATCCGCCTGCTTCGGCCTCCCAAAATGCTGGGATTACAGGTATGAGCCACTGTGCCTGTCCCCAAGGTTACTTTTGGGACTATAAGTAAAAAATGCCTAAATGTAATTTTATACCAACTTTGTAGAACTGGTCAAATTAAACACAGATCAATAAAAGTAGCAAGAAAAATTGCCTTTTTCTCTCATGTGTTCCTTGTCTGTTTGTCAAACATTTGTTCATTTGAGACCTATTCACAGAGGGCACAATGGTGTTGGGCCCTGGGGACATGCTGGGGAGTAGGACCATCAATGACCACTTCCCTCCTGGAGGTCTTATGATGTGGCAGAGACAGATGTTGACTACGTAAATAAGTAATAACACAAAAAATGAGAAATTACAAAAGAGATACTCAGTGCTTACAGTAGGAAGGTTTCAACTATTTTTAAGAGGGTGGTGGTTTCTGAGGAAGTAGTGGTTCTACTGAATCCTGAAATGTTATCAATACCAAAAAAACAGTGTATATTTAGGTATGTATTGCCTTCCTTATTTTGTTCCCAAAAAACTGTAAAAGAAATAGGTTTCACTGTCTTCTTCTCTTCATAGAATTTCTCCAAAAACAATGGAAGCATAATAATAATAATAACAATTTTTCCTATTAAGACTTAGCAGAAAGCAGTGGAAACGAGTTGTAAACAATTTGTTAGGCAATGCTTTAGAAATTAACATTTACTAAAAATCAATGTTTTTATTCTCTTTCAAATCTCTGTTTTTTTTGTTAGCACATAAAACCCATAATTTATTCATTTAGTCATTTTGTACATATTTATGGTATATGCATTATGATCCTGACAGTGTTGATTATCAAACAAAAATGGCAATATTACAGTAGTATTATGTACTTAATATGCTTTATTTCAATTTACCAAATACCTAGATGATCTATATAAAACATGAACCTTAAATTTAATTTCAATGAAAATAGATGTAATGAAGCATTGGTCTACTCCTAAAACCTTTTAAGCTTTTATAGATTTTCCTTAAACATGAAAGGTATGTTTCTTATTATTGTACAAAAACAGTTTAACTGCTTACAACCTTTTATAGTTTTTTAAGTTAGATTTCTGGTCATTTCTAAGTATAACTAGGCAAAATAAATCATGAAAAACTGTACATGCTGAAGCCATGGAGACTTATAGCTGTGTTAGAATGGTGTTGCATATTAAGACATCAACCTGACTTCCAAATTGACATTTGTTTTCAATTTAACTTTTTAAATGATTTTTTAACTTTGAAAAAAATTATATAAGAACATTTTGAAAAAAAATCTGTGAAAGAGAAATCCATCAATAATGTCTAACAATTACAGGATCTTAGGGGTGTCACTTTTCCGGCTGGAAACTTCTATGGCTGGTGTTGCCTTTTCCTGAGTTTTTCTCCAGCCCACCGGGCTAGTTCTCCCCACTTGGCTTGGCAGGCTGCCCTAAACTTGCGCTACCAGCCTGGATCCCGTGTCTCCAATGATAAGCCAAGCCCATGAACAAGTGAGTGTGGGGTCTGGCCACTGTGCACAGCCAGGCACACTGGCTGTGGCAGGGTGGGTAGCTCCAGGCACCAACACAGGCACTACCTCCCTGCAAGGCTACAGCTGGACTAGGTGTATGTCAAGCAGCTTCCACAGCTGGCACTGGGGAATGCGGCAGCACCTGGAAGCTTGGAGATGCCAGGAACCAGAGAGCCCAAAGAGGGTGTCACAGCACTGGCTCAGGGAGCTCCTAGGTATGGACTTCCCAAAGGGTCGAAGCTCTTCTCTCCCTCTCTCTTCTCTCTTTCTCATTGCCCAGTAACTTGGTGAGCAAGGGGCATGGTCCAGCCTGTTTGTGTTATAGCTTTTTCAGCCCTGCCATTCAGTGGGTGCCAAGGCCTTGTCCCGTGTCCAGGGAGAATGAGGTATGTGGACAAGTGGACGGTGAGCAATGAAAAGAGGTGCTTTATTGAGCCACAGTATGGCTCAGATGATACCCACACTGGGTAGCTCCTCTCCTCAGGCAAGGTGTCCTGATGAGTGTTCAGCTGTCAGCAGAAAGGAGACCATAGTAGGTAGTTCCTCTTTGCAGGCAGGGTGTCCCATCATCTCCTGGATTCTGGCTGAGTCCAGAGTTTTTATCAGCTTCAGATGGGAGGAAGTGTGAGCTGATTGGTCCATGGCTGGCCATGGGTGGCCATGGGTGGGCTCAGAAAAAGCACCATAAATTCTTACTCCAGGCCATGGAACTGGCAACCCAGCCCCCAAGGCTATTTTTGGCCTCAAGATGGTGTTTCACTGGGAACCCACCCCTTTCTTTCCAGCAGCCTGTCTGTCCCCTGCCATCTGCTGCCTATGGTACCCACAGTATGCAGGCTGTTCATGCCCAGGGGCACCTGCAGGCTTGCACTGAGCTGCCCTAAGCCACTCCCCGGCCTACCCTCCACTGCTCATCAGTGCCCAAAGTCCAGAAAAGGCCAAGGCAACATGGGGCTGGTGTGTCAGTGCTGCCCCAAGTGTGTGCACACCCATCCAGTTTGCAACAGTGCCTAGGCTCGGCCTCAACTTTGCTCAGAAATTGGAGGGGGCACCAGGAGTGGGGAGAGGCCAGGCAGTAGGAGCAAGCACTTCTGAGCCTGTGCTTCTCTGGGGCAGAGAGGCTTCTTGGCTCCCGAGAGTGTATAGATCCCTGGGTCTACACAGGGATGTCCAGTTCCACAGCCATGGCTGGGAGGCTGTGGCTTTGCCTGGGGAGCCTGAGGCTCCCACCGTATAAACTCAGAAGGGGCGGTGCTCCTGCTGGCTCCATGGAGTGCACAGCCCTGTCTGCGTCTCCAGACTGCAGCCGGCATCTTTGCAGTGGCCGGCAAGACTGGCCACCACTGCCATCTTAACTACATATTCTACGACTCTCTCCCATCTGCAGTTTTACTAATAAAGGACCTAGTTTGGGATCTTTTTCCTTCTTTCCTTCCTTCCTTCCTTCCTTCCTTCCCTCCCTCCCTCCCTCCTTCCTTCCTTCTTTCCTTCCTTCTTCCTTCCTTCCCTCCCTCCCTCCTTCCTTTTTCCTTCCTCCCTTGCTTTCTTCCCTCCTATCTTCCTTCTTTTTCTCTTTTCTTTCTTTTTGACACTGCCTTGAGTTTATCAGGCCATTTGAACCTAAGGACTAGTGTCTTTCTTTATGAACATCCTCTGCCCTCTTTCCTCTGTTTTCTCCTTCTGACACTCAGAATAAACATATGCTAGACATTCTCTATTCTTCCATGTCTTTTAAGTTCCGTTTCATATTACCCATTTTTTCCTTTTGTATGTTCATGTTGGCCAGGCTATGCCTATCAAAGTCACTTTTAGAAAACATGAGCTCATCAAAGAAAAAAAAAAAAAGAAAGAAAAAAAGTGAGGTCATGGTGAAAACACCAGCATCAGTAATTATCTTCCCTGTTACTTTTCCTGTGAGAGAACGGGATTCTCCTGGCCACTGGATCTGCTTCTTACTAAATCTGAAACAAAAACGTATCAAGTTACATCAAAATCCTGGCCAATCTAGAGTTTGTTAATGAATTCGTTCCATCCAAGAAATGGGGTCTTCAAAATGCCAAAGGAGAGTTTCCAGGGAAGTCACAGCATGTAACAGGTATTGGCATTCTGGATTTAAATTGTAGGGGCAGTTGGATGACTGGCAGGACTCTAGTCCAACCCCTACTTTTCTCCGTGACAACCTGCTGGTTGGAGATGAGATACAGGAGCTGGAAACATACCGTTATCTAATGTCTGGCCTCTCAATTATTTCATATCCCCATGTGGTTTTTCTCTCTGTTTCCTCTCTCATAGGAAAAGTAAGACAATTTACGTTTGTGCAGTAAGCCTTTACTGGAAACCCTGCTGCACTGTCTCAATTCAGGAGTGTCTACTTCTTCAAAGTGCTCTTCGTAACCCTCTTAGATTGTTACCTGGAAAAATTCTCTTCTAGATGGACAATTTCTTACAAATGGTTATCAGTCTATCATATGAACCCTCTGTTAGTCAGAGTAACTAACATAAGTAGGCACAGTAAACAAGTCGTGAAACCTTTTCAGCTTAATGCATTTATACATTCAAAAAGTCAGATGTGGTCCTTCATCAGGTGCATCAGCTGGAATATCCGGCTTCTGAATTTCTGTGGAACTGTAAGAATGAGATGGGGTTTGCCCACCAGCTCTTAATTTCTTTTGGCCAGGAACAAAATACATGACTTATGTTTTGGGCATCCAGAACCCATCTCACATGAGTCCTACCTAACTGCAAAGGCAGCTAGGAAAGTAAGGCGTCGCAGGCCAGATTTGTTGAACTCTAAATATCCCTGCTCCAAATCTTATCATCCTACACCCTGCCACATGTTTGTTGTTGCAGTTGTTATTTTGTACATCAATCAAGTTTTCTATAAAAACACCAGAAGACACTTCTTATACTTTGGGATCAATGGGTAATTCTCAGTGACAGATACTGTAGAGTCTTTTAAACAATCACATGCCTCAGACTCTGTGGACTTCCAACTTTATAACTTTTTTTTCTTTTTTTTTTTGAGACAGTGTCTCCCTCTGTCACTCAGGCTAGGGGTGCAGTGGCACAATCTCAGCTCACTACAACCTCCACCTCCTGGGTTCCAGCAATTCTCCTGCCTCAGCCTCCCAAGTAGCTGTGATTACAGGTGTATACAAACACACCCGGCTAATTTTTTTGTATCTTTCATAGAGACAGGTTTTCACCATGTTGGCCAGTCTGGTCTCGAACTCCTGACCTCAGGTGATCTGCCTGTCTCAGCCTTCCAAAGTGCCGGGATTACAGGCATGAGCCATTGCGCCTGGCCCAACATTTTTATAGCTCAATTTTTCTGTGGTCTTCCCTATTTTCAGAAAAGAAACGTCTTCATAGTTTCAAATATTTCTTCACAATGTATTGAACAATAGAAATACAGTATCTTAGAGACCCAGTTTGAATTTTTGGATCAAAGAAGCAGCTCAGAAATTCAAACATACCCATCATCAAACTTCTTTAACTTCTAAACAAGACTATAGATTCATCCCAGAATATCATTTCCTGAAATTATAGTTTTCTAGAGTTTCTTAATTTAGTGAACTCACATAATTAAAAGCTTAAATTCCTGTTTGACATCTACTTCTATACTATACTTTTCTCACCTGTTAAAATTTTGATTTGAATGCCCCTTTGATTTTAATGTGGTATTATTTGAACTCTGATGAATAATGCTTTGAAATTCAGGGTGATTAGAAAAAATGTCTAGCTAGGTAACTTTGTCACAGTATAGTTGGATATTGTCACTGGAATCACTGTCATAGTCTGGTGTTTGCTTATCACTGGAGTGGCCACTGTGCACATCCACAGTTTTACTAATGGGGATAAAGAGAAAAGGGTTGCCCATTTTTCCTGTCTATAATATTGCTGCATAATAGCCGTATGTCCGTGAGTGCTTTCTAAAGCTGGTTGCTCATCAGTTTCCTCATCTGTAAAATGAGGGGGACAGTAGTCTCTACATTATAGGGCTATTTAAAAGATTAAGTGAGTTAAAATATGTTGAGCTATTTAGTACTATCGGGTGGTGTTTGATGGAGAGACTCAGCTTGATCTTTATATTTAATCATTACCGTATATTGAAGGGTTTGGAGAGGATTGACTAAGGAAGCATTTTACTCATTGATGAAAGAAGAAAAAAAACTTAGTTGTGCTCACCTGGCCTGCTAGAAGATTATGCAGTGTCTTAATAGCATGTGGTATATTATGTAGTGCTTAATTAATGAAATAAAAGTAAAGGTT
This sequence comes from Homo sapiens, assembly GCF_000001405.40. Taxonomy (NCBI): domain Eukaryota; kingdom Metazoa; phylum Chordata; class Mammalia; order Primates; family Hominidae; genus Homo; species Homo sapiens. The sequence goes on from NC_000004.12 coordinate 130,352,955, forward strand.
TTAAAAATCTAGATATTCATCACAAATGTGGAGAAAAAATGTTTAAAACCAACATCTCTTTCATTTCAAATGCTAGGGAAATAAGACTTCCACATATCTATTTAATGATTATTCATGTTATTGATTATTAATACAAAATGTTATAAATTAGTAATTAAAAACAAACATAAAAAGCAAAAATAGGCCAGGTGTGGTGGCTCATGCCTATAATATAGAGTTTTGGGAGGCGAAGGCAGGAGGATCACTTGAGGCCAGGAGTTTGAGACCAGCCTGGGCAACATAGCAAGCCCCCGTCTCTGCAAAAATTTAAAAACTTAAGCAAGCGTAGTGACACGTATCTGTAGTTCTAGCTATTTGGGAGACTGTGTTGGGAAGAGAGCAAAAACTTGGGTCTCCTTAAAAATAAAAACAACAACAACAAAAACCCCCGTACAAAAAGGTTTCAATGCCATATTCTGCATTCAGAATGCCTGGGATGTTAACTGTCTTTGAACAACAATGCATTATATACTTCAAAATAAATAGGAGAGAACTTGAAAGGTTCCTAACGCATAGCAATGATAAATACTCAAGGTGACGCATACCCTAAATACTCTGACATAATCATTACACATTCTATTCATGTAAAAGAATATCACATGCATCTCATAAATACGTAGGAAAATTACATTATCAGTAAAAATTTTTTAGAAGAATGCCTGGGATGTAAACCTTGGTGCCGCTACTTAATAGCCATATGTCCCTGAGTAGTGCTTTCTTTAAGTTTTTGTTCCTCAGTTTCCTCATCTGTAAAATGAAAGTGGTAATAATATCTACCTTATAGGGTTGTTTAAAAGATTAATTGAGTCAAAATATGTTAAGATACTTAGTACTATGTCTGGCATATTATAAGTAAAAGTATCTATTTATTATAATTCAGACAAAATATGAAGTATCAATTTTTATTAAGCATTTATTTTCCCAATTAAGTTTTTTAAAATTACTTTTACCGTACATTAATTATTGTTAATAAAATAATAACCATAAAACATCTGTAATTCTAATTTTTACCAAGTCACTTCTTTGCTTAACAGAGAGATTGTTTTTGATGGTACTGTACTGTTAGTCAACCCAGATTATTGTGTTTCTGCATGTATTATATGTGAAGATAAAATTTTACTCAAAATTTCCTGTTTTTCACAAATTACTTAGGCTCTGCTATATATTTGATTATTCAGTGATAACAATGAGTAAGATTCTTTACTAACCCGTAATACACACATTTCTTATTAAGAAAAAATAAGTGTAGTTTATGAGAAAATCTATCTCTGCATTCACAAAGCAAGGGGAAAGTTTATCTCCACAAAATTAGATGAGGCTATGAATATTTACAAGAATAAGTTTATGTGTCTCTTAGGTTGATGCCTATAGATTATATTCCTAATCATCAATAGATATAATAAATTTATTATTAGACACTGACCTCAAAATATGTATTACTTTAAAAATGAATGAGCATTGCACCTAAAAAGAATTTTTTAATTTGAAAAAAGTAATGACTTCATACAACAAGGGTAGGCAAACTACCACGTACTAACCTACAAACCTGCCCTGCAGCTTATTTTTGTAAATAGTTTTATTGAAACAAAAGTAAATTCATTCATTTGCAACTTAGTTTTGCTACTTTTATGCTATACTATCAGAATTAAGTAGTTTCAGCAGTGACTACGCAGCACATTCCGTGGAAAATACTTATTCTCTTAGTTTTTACAGAAAATATTTGCTGTACTATATTATGGAAAACATATACACCTTACAAGATGAGATTTAGGCACATATCTTTAGTACATTTTCAAATGTTTAATGTAAATGCTCATTTGAAATAATAAATAATGTATTTTTACTGCCAAAGTGTTGTTCAAGAATAAGAATAATAATTTTTCAAGAATAAGAGTTGTTGCTATTTCAAAGAAGACACTGACAGAAAAATTTGCTTTGTATGGATATATGGGTGGTATGCTATGAAATTGTACAAAAACATATAAATCAAAAGTTAAAAACAGTATTTTTGGACACCCTGATTAATATTAATATAAGGCTTTTTATCTAAATATCAAAGTTTAAGATATGCATATATGCCTGAAATTATAGGTATATGTAGGTATATTACACTCTTCAGGTTTCTTTTGTGTGTATATATGTGTGTGTGTGTGTGTGTGTGTGTGTATATTAGCACCACTTCCTTCTCTATGTGCCATTACACTAATATGAATCAGGTTTCCTTGATTCTTCTTATAAACCATTTTTTATTAAAAAAATTATGTAATATTAACAAAAGCAATGAGGAGATATTTTGGGTAGGTTGTTTGTGACAATCTAGTTGTCTTCTTAACATCCCTTTCACCATATTTATCAGCAATATTTGTGGATTCTCACTTTAACCTCAATGAGAGAAACCCCATCCCCTCCCTGTACCCCCTCCCTCTTGCCACAGTGATAAGCTCAGGTAACCTATGCCAACTGCAGCCAACACATGACATATTCCTGGAGAAAATAATACTTTCAAAAATGGGCATTTGAGTCTGTTTGAATCAATAAAACATGATGACAGGTTTTCTCGAAAAGATGGGAAAGAAAATGCCTTCCCAAAATGTGGTATGCAACTAATGTTGTTACCAAGAGGAAAGCTTGGGGCGAAATAGAGTCTTTGCAAAAATAAGTAGATTCCTGCATCAAGCAAAAATTGACCATTTTTCTGCCTCATCTTAAAGTTGTGAGCCAAAAATGATGTGCTTTTGACAGTTTGATTTGTTACTTCTATATCAAAACTCTTAAAATATATAGATTATATTTCAATTCTCCAGCATAACTCAGGATTCATTAGCTCATTCATTAATTTATTTAAAGAGTTATTCACGAACTGTATATCATAGACACAAGCAAATAGATTATTAAAGTTTCAAACATAATTTTTATAATTCTTGTTTTACATTCAGATGTCACAAAATAGTACCAGTTACATGTACAAAGTTGCCATATTATGATGAATAGGAAATATTTTCCAAAACCGTATCATAGTTTCAGTTCATAAATTCTCCAAACTTTGATAATAAACTTAAAATAAATATAGTCCTCAACAGGTACATTGACTGAAATACAATTCTATGAAATGGAAACAAACTGTAAATATACTCATATATAAAGAAGCATTTAGCATTTCTTAATCCTGTGTTTTTAGTAAATCAATACATCATTGAATAATTTTTTTTTGAAAATGAAATAAGATTTTATTCATCTATGGACACTATACCAGAACAATTGGTCTGTAGCATGTCTGAGGAGGAGGCCTGTCATTTCTGTCTCAGAGTGTCAGGGAGTTAAATCTGATTGATTTGATTTTGCTCCTTCCTGAACCTTGTGGAAATGAGAGAAAAAATCTTCACCTCCATGTAATAAATAAAAGATAGACAAAAGATACATAATTAAATACATCAAATATACAACATATTTAAGCTGTAGAGAAGCAACATTGAAGATTCCGGGTAGTTGCCCTGGCCTTATCCTGTTTGTCTTTTCTTCTTCAACAGCTATCAGTGACTTCTGGTTAGAGGTCACTGCGCCCTCCTGCTTCTTAAAGTGTTAAAATACTTTTGAGTAAAGGGCTTTCCAATCTTAGACTATTTGCATTTTAATAAGAAACTATTGAAGATTGAAAAACCTTTAGGACTTAAAGGAAAACACTTCTAATATTGCAAGGCAAGGCACTTGCAAGTTAATTCACAGTAAAAACAAAACTCATGATGTGTTTGGATGCATAATTTAACCTTGTGCAGTGCCATTCCTGTTTGACTAAAAGGACAATGAGGGACTTGATAATACTTCAAAGTTGCTTTTATTTCATTCTTCTTATAAATGGCCTAGATCAAGAATCGGAAAAATTTTCTTCCTCAAGCCAGTTTATTAAAATTTTACTCCAGACAACTTCTCTGTAATAAATTATATATTTGTAAACACAGGAACTAACAATCATGTATCCACACAGAGCAAATCATGCTCTCATTTTCTCTCCGATGTCTGAGTGCATAGACTGTTTGTTGCCCTGTCAGTAATCTGTCCAAACATCACAATCAGTAAACTGGCAGTATGCACCTTGGTGCAGACTTGTCTTTCAAGTAGAGATTACTAATTGTCTGGAAGAAGCAATACCTGCTATTATCTTCCCTGAAAAATATTTCAAGCACTAAATGGTTCAAATATAAATGCCTTGAGTATGCCTGGTCTAGTCTTCAAAAATGATATGCTTTTATAAATTCCATTAAGGTACAGAGAAATGAAACAGATGACATGTAGTAAGGAGGAACTAAAAACATCATAGGAGGAGAAATAGAATTTAATTGTAAATTAGAGAATTAGACTTTTAGAAGACTGAAGATGAATGCCAATAATAAAAGGAATTTAAGCAGATAAAGCAAATCACATAATGTTTTATAAAGATTAAATGCATAAAAACTAAACAGGAAAATATTTAATAATAGAATGGAACAATTATATTTGTTTAAGATATAATTTAATCTCATTCTTTAAACAATTAAAAATAACTCTGAATGTGCTTAAATTAGACAGATCCAACTATTTTTTAGGCAGTGGATTTCATGAAGATAATATCCAGGTAAGATCCCAATCTGAGAGTAATTCCTTTGGAAAAACCACTTGATATTTATATGCTCTAAATCCAGGATTGTTGAATACTATAAACAGTATAAGGCTCTGCTTCTTAGAGATACTTAAATGAACAAATTGTTTACATGTAAAGAAAGGCAAAATTTTTCTTAGTAACTAACCAGGACTAACCAGAAAAACACAGTGGAGGAGCTCTGGTAAGATTGGCCTGATCCAAGGTACAAAGATATAAGGTGGCTTCACAAACTATTAGATACTTTACTTTCTATTACCTTATAATGAACTAGGATGAGACATTTTTCATTTTTATTGAATCCTATATAAATTATTGTTGATTTGTCATTTTTACTTGACAATAAATAAAACATCATAACATAACTGTATATAATTTTAAGAATTATTATGTAGAGCTAGAAGAGCATAAAACTAAGATCTCTGGTCATTTTCCAAACTTAACCCATGTTACTACTGAACTTGCAGACACTTATTTTCTTTACTACATTAATTTTATGTCCATCAGTTAGATCTAATGTTTTTAAATATGGTTTAGTATTTCTTAGCAATTCTAAGACTGAAAATAAGTTATTTCAATTAACATTAGTGTCAATTAATGTTCTATGAAAAACTGAAAAATATTGTTGTTGTTGTTTTTTTAAGACAAAGTCTCGCGAGTCTGGCTCTGTCGCCCAGGCTGGAGTGCAGTGGTGCAATCTCAGCTCACTGCAACCTCTGCCTCCCAGGTTCAAGTGATTCTCCTGCCTCAGCCTCTCGAGTAGCTGGGACTACAGGTTCCCACCACCATGCTTGGCTAATTTTTGTATTTTTAGTAGAGATGGGGTTTCACTATATTCACTAGGATGGTCTTGAACTCCTGACCTCGCGATCCACCCTCCTTGGCCTCCCAAAGTTCTGAGATTACAGGTGTAAGCCACCGCGCCCAGTCTGGAAATATTTTTATTATGTAAAGGAGCTTACAATCTGATTTGTTTTACTTTAAAATTTGAAGAAAAATTATGAGAAACAATAAGAAGCCACAGTTTTTACTCTGGACATTTATATAAGCAAACTTTTTAAAATCTCTACCTTTAAATTTTCTCTTTTCTTATTAAAGGAATCTGATACCATTTTTATCTATATTCATTCTAGGTATTTATTTTTTATGAATCTTATATCCAATAACATTTGCCAGCTCTACTAGAGGAATAGTATTGTGTTTTATATGAAATCTATTACCTAAGTGAACTGTGAAAAAAAACTTTACAATATATTTGAATTTAAAATCTTCAGTCAGTTCAATCATATTACTGACTCAATGACAGTGTCCTGAGCGAATCCATTATTTAATTAAGATTCTCTGCTCTCCAGAGCTTCTCTCAGTATCTTCAGTACCTTTAGGTTCTTGAAAATCAACCATATTTAGAAAGAAAACTTTTCATTACTTTTAACTGTGTTACTAATCCAACTAGATTTTAATTGTTTGTTTTCTTCCCTAAAATTTTTAAAATAAAACTTCTGGTAGGCACTCAATGATTTCATCTTGTTCTCCATTAGATCCATTATATTTGGTATTATTGGACACACAGTAGTTTTCCAGTAAATGTTGGTTAAATAAATGTACCAATTCCACCACCCCCTCCTCCCAACACAGTAAAAGATAAAGGAGAAAGGTAATCTTTCTGTGACAACACAGCAGGCATTTTCAACCACATATGTGCTAGATAGGGCAGAGGAAACAGGGAACTGAGGAAATGCTACGGCAGCAAGTCAAAAAACATGACATGAATGGTCACTCTAATGGTATCAGTAAAAATACAAACAAAAAACCAACAAACCAAAAATCTCCACATTTTCGGAGTTAGAACTTAAACATATTCAGGATTGGAGAGGTGCATTTAGGCAGCTTCGACATTGTTGATATTGTTTAATTCTTAATTTGGATGATAGGTTCATGCTTAGTTTCATATATGCTATTTTATTTTGTATGTGTCATATAGTACAGATGATAAACTTTTTAAAGAAAGAAGCCAAAATATTCTAATATTTTGTACTTTAAAGGCGTATAAGTAATATATACCCCAATTTAGGCCTGAAATTTTTCTCATTAAGTAGAAAGTCACTGTCAGAAGGTGGCAGTGTAGTACTTTCCTTCCCAAATGAACGAAAATAGTTTAAAAATTACCAAAATGTAGCCTTTTCCAGATGCAGGCCTCAGGGCCACATTCAGTCCTGCAACTCTCTCCTCATTGCTGGGGATGTCTCATTAGGAGATTAACTGTTTAAAATGCAATGCTAATGTGAAAGTTTTAATTGGGAAATTCTGTGCATGTTAAATTAATCTTTCTTAGGTACTTTTATCTAGAATTCGTGTTTCTTTTCTACAATGTTTAGCCTTTCTGAATGCTGCACATTATTTCTCTGTGGAAAATAAATTGTATACAGAATAATAATGTCCTTTAATATTTTAGATATATATTAAAATGCTGTTCAAGTTTCTTCTGTAATCACTTAATGCATAGCTTTAGCATAAACAAAATCTACATTCTTATCCACTTATTATGAACTAACAATCTTTGAAAAATATAAAAAAGGAGTTGATTATGGGAATATGGAAGAGAATGAAGAAGTCAAATTTGGATCTCTGTTAGACAGGGAATGAGAGATACCTGGTTGTAACATTTATTAGAAAAAAATGACGTATGCCTTTATCTTAAGAATTAACATCATATTGATATTAATATGAAATAATCAGAAAAAAACATGGTTTTGTAATGAGTGATGTCATAATTATTTAAATGATTAGCTTTGTTGAAAATATATATGGGCACAAATACATGAATAGGATTGTATTTTCTAATTTCTAGTTAAAATGTAATCTTCATAATGTATTTAATTGTCATATATATATACACACACATTTGAATAACTTATGATGACTCTTCAACCAACAGACAATTAAGTTTTAAAACTATAAAAGCACATTTTGTTTTAAGATGGTTTTAGCTACTCTGATCTCAAGAACATACAATTTATAATTACATAACTGTAATTTATTGGCATTAAGAATATAAAACATTGCAGGAGATTGAGACCATCATGTCTAACATGGTGAAACCCTGTCTCTACTAAAAATACAAAAAATTAGCCAGGCATGGGGGTGGGCATCTGTAGTCCCAGCTACTCTGGGACTGAGGCAGGAGAGTCCCAGAGACTGAGGCAGGAGAATGACGTGAACCCGGGAGGCGGAACTTGCAGTGAGCCAAGATCACACCACTGCACTCCAACCTGGGCGACATAGTGAGACTCCGTCTCAAAAAACAAACAAATAAATAAAAGAATATAAAACATTGCATGAAATAATTAATCATTCATGTTTGTGTTTGTTAAGAATTGCAGTCACAGGGATTTTTATTTAAATTTTTCTTAAGGTAAATAATAAACGTTTTTTAAAATACAAATTTCATAGAGCCTAAAACTTAATCTGCAAATTATTCATACTGGTCAGATTCTGAAAATTCTTGTCTAAAAGTTTTATAATAGATGGGAATAAAGGAATACTATTTTTATTTTGTTTTGTGCTATTTTATTTCTTATTATAGTTCTACGAATGGACCATTTTTATGGATGTAGTCAAAGATAACATTGTTTATGCCTTCTGAGAGTGAAGTCATCAGTAAACAGAATAAAACAAGTAATTATGCACTAGTCTTCATGCTACCTATAGGACATATTAGGAGGAATAGGAACAATAGAAAAATGAATCAGAAGAAGCATATATGTGAAGTATGAATCTTCAGTTTCAGCATTAGTAAGGTCCCTCTTACTAATGTAAAATAAATCTCTTATGTAGCTGCAAGCCTCCTTTATACCATTCTGCATTTGATTAGTTTCTTGAACATGCATTAATAGTTTTGTTTGTAGTTATTCCTCTGAAGTCTGAGACCCAAAAGAGTAAAGTTAATTCCTAGAGATGATGATAGCACTTGAACTAAAGGAGATCAGCACCTCTGCTTTCAGCTCTGCTCTGCCAATGTCTCTTGTCAACGTAGGGCTCTTCATTTTTTCTAGCCTAGCAGGACACATTGCATCAACCACGGCAACATTGATATGCAAGGTATAGCCTAGCATCTAGTGACACGCCGTACAAGACAGCAAAGTTTATCTTCTAAGAGATTTTCTAAATTGGCCCATGAGATTTGCAAGTCTGAGATAGACTTGTCTACTCTAAACCAGAAAGCATGCAAAAAACTTCTAACTTCTCTGTTACACACGCCACCTGCCACCTGCCAGTAATCATTCAAGGGTTTCAAAAGTTATTTTTTCCACTCATAGAGATTTGTAAAATCATTTTTCAGAAACACATGTAACTACATCACAGAATAATTGATAGTTTAAAGGGATATGCAATGCTCATTTTCAGTAGTGATGTGATGTTTCGTTTTTTTTTTTCCTTGAAATTCTGAATATTAGTCTAGAGAAAATGGAGGAGGGAATGTTCTTTTAGAAACGTGAGCAAAGTCAGATAAGTATTTTATTCTTTAGCAATAAAAACATTACATTCATGACTAATGCCATCTGTTCATGGGCTTATTGGTTCAGAACAATCCAAAGGCGATCATATATCTACAAAATGTCCTTGAATGCTAGATTTTGTCAACTGTTTTAGTTGCCAGATTTGAGGAAGCACAGTGTTCTTCACTGCCTCTCTGGTAGCACAGCTGCAGCCACTGAGGAACATGAATTAGTCTAGTTAAGGTCAATATTACCTTATGCTTATTTCAAGCAATAAGTATTATGCCCGAAATATAGTCTACAGCTATACCTTAAGAATTATATTTATAATAAATGTTATGGACTTAATATTTGTGTCCTGCCCATTCCAGATTTATGTGTTGATATATTAACCTCCAATGTGATCATATTAAGAGGTGGAGCGTTTGGAAGGTAGTTAGCTCATGAGGATGGAGTGCTCATGAATGGGATTAATGACCTGAAAAAAGAGATCCCAAAGAGGCCTCTTATTTTCTTTCTGCCAAGTGTGGGTACAATGAGAAGTTGGCAGTCACCAACTAGAAGAGAGCCATCACCAGAACCTGACTGTGCTGGCACCCTCACCTTGGACTTCCAGCCTCAAGAATGATGACAAATACATTTCTTTTGTTTAGAAGTCAGCCAGTCTCTGGTACTTTATTATGGCATCCCATCCTAAAACAATAATGTTTCCTCAGATTTTGAGTTTTCCTTTCAATATTATGCATATATATATTGCTGAGAAATCATAATAATTTTTTTAAGCGACAAGGTCTCTTTTTATTTAAGAGACACAGTGAGCTATGCCACCTGGGCTGGAGTGCAGTGGTGTGATCATAGCTCACTGCAACTTCAAACTCCTGAGTTCCAGTGATCCTCCCATATCAGCCCCATATCCCAAAAAGCTGGGACTATAGGTGTGCACCACCACACTTAGCTAAGTTTTATTTTTTTTAATTTTTTTCTGGAGACGGGGTCTCACTATGTTGATCAGGCTGGTTTCGAACTCCTGGCCTCAAGCAACCTTCCCACTTCAGCCTTCCGAATTGCTGGGATTATAGGCATGAGTTATTGTGCCTAGCCAGAAAACTTCCTAATAAAATGTTTGTGTTGTAATGTAGTTCACTGTTATGGGATCAGTTATCCTTTTTTTCTTTTCTTCAATGATTTTGAATTGTAAGTAGAGAATTAGGTCACCATGAACTTTTAAGGGGCATTGTTATACTTTTATTTTGGACATAGGTTTTGGTTTATAATAGCTAGCATAATGATGCTTTTCACTAACTGTGTTATTAGAATGGTTCATGTAAAAAAGCCACGATTCCAAGAGACTATTTATTAATAGTTGTTAAATAAACTCTTTTTGAAAAGAGCACAGTTGACCCTTGAGCGACATGGGTTTGAATTGCGTGGGTCTACTTATATGTGGATTTTTTTCAATAAATATATTAGAAATTTTTTTTAGAAATTTGCAACAATTCGAAAAATCTTACAGATAAACCGTGTAGCATAGAAATATAAAAACATAAAGAAAAATGTATGTCATTAATGCATCCAATACATGTAGATGCTAGTCTTTTTATGTGTTAATCAACTGTTAATGTTATTGGTAAGGTTTCCAGTCAGTAGTAGGCTATTAGTAGTTACATTTTTGGGGAGTAAACATGTATACACTGATTTTTCACTGCCCAGGTCAGTGAAACTTTCAGTGCTCTAATCCCTGTATTGTTCAAGGATCAACCATACATTTTCTTATTATTTATTTCACAGTCATCTGAAGATAAAATTAAATGTTACATAATAAGTAAACTACTATTATGAATAGATACGTCTTTACCATTTCTCAAATACTAAGTTTTTTTTTATGATTATACATATTCTACCTTCTGGCTTTAAGAGATTAAAAAATGAGTGAGACCTATATCCCTTTTCCACATATTTTAGGTATGTAATGATGTTTGTTTAAATACTATTTAATTCCTATGATTTCAAAAAATTGATTTAATATTAGAAAATGACATCTTTGCACTCTTTGGAAATACATTTAAATTTTCTGAGGATTTCTCAATGCTTAGTTTGATTAAATTATTGCTGAAATCATTTCCAATCACAGAGTATTTTAAATGAAGTTTTAAATTTTGGACTGATTTTGGTTTTAGCTGTATTTGCGTCAAGTTTCCATCTTTTACAATATCAAGAATATCAAGGAAGGTGAAATTTTTCTGAACTCAAGCAGAGTCATGAGTCCAAACTAAGGCTTAATGATCCCTGTGGGAGGCTGAATAATGGCCTTGCAAAGATGTCCAAGTCCTAATTTTCAGAGTCTGTAATTATGTTGTTTGACATGGCAAAAGGGACTTTACCAATGTGGTTAAATTAAAAACCATGAGAAAGGGAGATTATCTTGGACTATTCAGTTACCCTCAATTTAATTATGAGGTCCCTTGTAAGAAAAGGTAAGACAGTCAGAGTCAGAAAAGGAGATGTGATGAAGGAAACAGTTTCACAGTGATGCTACTAGAAACCAAGGAATGGAGGTGGTCTCTAGAAGTTGGAAATGAATTATTTCCTAGAGCCTCCAGAAGGAACGCAGCCTTGCTGATACCTAGATTTTAGCCAGTGAGACTCATCACAGAGTTTAGACCTCTAGAACCAAAAGATAATACCTTTGTCTTGCTTTAAACCATTATTACATTGTGGATTGTTACAGCAGCACTAGGAAACTAATACAATACCTTCAAATTCAACTTACAAGCAATTCATGGATAATATCTAGCCACATATTTCCCTTCCTCTTTTAGACATATTTTATTCTAATACCAAGCCCTGAGAATAAATTGTTCTGCAATTGATATGGCTGACAGAGTCCTACATATGGAACCCTTCTAGCAGGCTGCTTGTCCATCAGCAACAAAGTGATCGGGAAATGAAAATGTCAATAGTCACTAATAACCATGTGATTTTACCATTACATTTACAGATGAATTTCCCTTAGTTGCCCATGTCATATTAAAGATATTGCATATTAGCAGAGAAGGGGATGTGGCTAAGTATGTTTTTAATCTGTGGAATACATTGAGTCTTCCAAAAGATACTAAAGACATAGACAGCTCACCTAGTACTCTTATATTTATTGTGTCTCTAAAAGGAGAGAAGTTGAAAACTTCTTCAAACATACAAAGTCAAATATTAATCCTATCCAGATACTATTTCTCCATCTTGACTTCCCCTCATCAACTGATTGTTTCTATTGTTTCCTCTCAACAGCAAGGTCCCTTCCTCTTTCTACATGATTACTGCAGAGGTTCAAGAATGTTCCTTTCATAAAGGCAGCACACCAAAGTAAAATATAAATTATGTAAAATCATAAATGTAATTATATAATTTAAATGGAAAGAACATATAATAACAAGATATGCAAGTGAATTGGTAATATTGAGAAGGAGGTAATATCTTTGAAGTAAACAATTTATATGAGTGTCACTTTCAAAGGGATTTCTTACTGTTTTGTGGTTTATTTTGTATGTTTTATTTTTGTTTTTTCTCCCATTTCTAATACAGACACAAACAATGTTTTAGGGAAATCACAAGGTAAGATTAATCTAGTTCAGATATTACCTGTTTTTTGCCCTTTTGGCTATTCCTAGTCTGAACTTTCATACTTATAAATTTGAAACAATATTTTCGGGACTACAGCCTCAGTTATTTTTACAACTTATTCTAGAGCTCTGTCGTCTCTGTGAAAATGCCCCCCAACCCCTAGAACAACAAAAGCAAAAAAAACCTAAACTATGTAAGTAAAAAGACAAATCTACTTTTCACCTTTTGTGGTATATTTAAGCTCCAGAATTTATGCATGCTATGTGGACAAATTCCAAATCTATATATACGCCCATAATGTTCTACCTACAGTCTTCCATTCTCACTTGCCTTTGGGATGACAACCTTGTCTCTTTACTTGTGCCCTAGGTAATTCTATTAAGTCCCATAGCTTAAGGTAAATTATTATCCTGATGATACTTACAGTTTATTTCAAGACCTTACTGTTCTGATGAATTCATGTATTCAACTACCTACTTGCCATCTCCGTTTGGATTTTTAATAAATATCTCAAAGTAAATATGATAAAACAGAGCATTTGATTTTCCTCTCAGACCTGCATCCCCCTCAGTCCTCATCTCAGTAAATGTCACCACTATTCACCTGATTACTCAGGCCCAAATCCTAAAATTTATTATTGATTCCCCATTTTACTAAAGTTTGCATCCTATATATCACCAAGTTTTCTTCGCCGAACCTAGTGATGTGGTTATGTTTCATCACCTCCCCACTGTCCCTCTGGTTAAAGCCACTATAGTCTCCCCCATAGACTATAATAATAACCTCCCCTCCTGTATTCCCTCTTTCACCTTGCTTTCTTACAATGATTAGTCAATACAACAGTCAGAGCTATACTGTAAAATTTCAATTATATCATACTACATCACTGTTTGCAACTCTTCAATACATTCCAGTAATTAAAAATCAAATTCAAAATGCCAAACATGTCCTAATGGGCCTATAAGATTTTGTTCCAATGTACTTCTCCAACATCACTCTCTAACTCACTCATTTTCACTTCCTTCACTTATCTCTGTCTCTTTCTATTCCTCATCTTCTCCTCTGATTCTGCTACTAGGAATCCTCTTCCTCATGATATTTACATGACATTCCCTCATACTTCTAGCTTGTTGAATAATGGACATCTCATCATTTATCTCAACAGAGAATTTTTTCTCTACAACCCAATCCTATTTATATGGACACACAGACACACACATAAATATGTATATATAAAATGTGTTTATATATTTAATTAAATCATTAAATAGCCAGATTTGTGTGATAATCCTAATATTGAACTATAGTTTAATTTTATTCTAAGTTTCTTTCTGATTCAGAAATGTGTTCTTTGAGTAGAATTATACAATAGAAGTGAATGTCATGAAGAAAACGACTCATTTATTATGCTGGAAATACATCCCATTTTAAATAAATGCATTGATATAAGAATTAATATCTTGAGAACCTGAACATTCATAGGTTAACTAATAACATTGAGGGTCTAGAATTGCAAAGTTGATTATTAGACCTAAATTCTCTATTAAAGGGCCAGCCTGAATAGTAAATTGTTTTTCCAACACTAGACATTTGAACCGAGAGAAAATAATGTAGTTGCACAAATGAATGCTATGTATTTCACTTTTCAAAATCAGTAAATCTGTATGTCATCATAAGCTTAATGACTACCTTAAATAGCCACAACAAGCTAGTAAGTCTGGTCATAGAAAAATACCCATTTTTAATCATCAATATAAAAAGATCTAGCAGCTCTGTCTGTAATAGAAAAATTAAAAATTACTTTGAGAAAACAGTTGGCTTAGTTGCACTAAAGCTTGCATTTTTTGAATCTTTTTTTGGCTTAGTTCTAATTCAATTGAACTTCAAATTATCAACTATTATATTGATATTTTCAGTTACTTAATTAAAATAACAAGTGCAGAAAATTGCAATTAATGTCTCAAATCAATGAATGTTAAATGCCCCCAAAGTAAAAATATTCATAAATTCAAAACCAAGACTTATGAATAATAAATCAACGCTACACAAAGAAGTTGGGCATTTAAGTTTTCATGATCCTTAAAAATACTCTTGGTATATATATGTTATGAATATCTAAAATTATTATTATTTCTTAGCCACATTACTATGGCAGGTTAGCAAGATTTAAGGTTTAATCAGACAAACACGTTTTACCATAAATGATGTGTAGGTTATTAGAGCAATTTCCCATTTAGTTTATCCTTTTTGACAGGAATCAGCCTTCAGTTCAGTCCAGAATAGATATCCATTAGATTGCCATGATTTTATTTCATACTACTCATTCTACTGTCTGTCATTCAGGCATATTCTCTTCCTGAAAAATATCCAGTTTCAGAGTCATTTAATGATTTAAAGCAGCTGACCCTTTATGTAATAAGATACATTTTACTGGGCATCAGGATAAAGCACTTGGGGAGTGATGAAGAGGCAAAACAAGATACTCTGTATAAAGAGAGAGAATGGGATCTGAGAATCTTCAAAATTTGTCACAAATAGATATAGAAACATAACTGATCACAGCACTTGCTTTTAAATAAACCAACATCTTTACCTCTTGCTGCACTCTATGAAAGGCGGTATGTTATATCAACAAAAAGCCTGGGTTGTAAAGCCAGAACAACCAGAGTTCAAATCCTAACTCTACCAAATAATATCGCGGCCTAATGGATCCTTTGTGTTTCAGTTTTCTCATCAATAAAATGAAGAGAATAACCATACCTATCTTACAAAGTTATTATTTTAATTAAATAAGTTAGCACATAAATTTGCTAGAAAAATGCCTGGTATGTAACATGTATGTGCTTTAAAGTTTTCTGCAAACTGTATATATTTCTTCCAATATATTAGAAAAAACATTTTACCTTAAAAATCATTGTAAAGTTTGATATTAGTATACTTTTTCTTGTCTATATTTTCTCTTTTTATATTCCCAATAATTATCCTGAAACTAGAGCTGCAAGAAAAAAATAACTGATTGTACTGAAATTGTATTGAAAGATCTTGGTTGCTTTCACAAGGAAGGGAACCTAATACCACACATATTTACCACTTAGTAAATACTACAGTATTTACCTGGTAAATTTACTTAGTGATTGAATATGTGACTGTACATAAGGTTCTCTCCAAAGACATCCATTTCCCAAAGCTTAAGTGTGTGAAATTCAAGAAACATATATGTAGGCCTGGATCAACATATTGGTTGAAGGAAAATCTAGAGAAGAAGAAGACCCCAATTATATATATAATTATATACATATATTATATATGTTTAGGTGTGTTAGTGTGTGTGTGTGTGTGTGTGTGTAATTTTTTTTCAGCAACATGAAGCAAAGTACAATATAGGACTTGGTTAATTTCAGTTAAGTGTAAAATACATAGTCTAAAGATTACAGTCAAAAATCAAGTAGTATATGCTTTAACCCCCTTTGAAAATTTTATATTCTAAGTACAAGTTAGCTTTCTTAACAGTTACTTCTCAAGTTTCAGATTAATTCTTTTTATTAGGTTTTGGATCATTCATTTTTTTCCCATTATTTCTTGAATGTGTATTTTCTGAAACGTGACTATGTGCTCTGCATTACGTCAGAGCTTGGCCTATATCTCAAGGTGGAAATTTAGATGTCCTTTTACATTTTCTCTTTATTTATGTCATCACATTAATGTATAAGCTCTTCTAGTAGTTTTAAATGACTCTGCATTGCTGCATTGTTATTTTGTATTGAGTCAAATTAATCACACTTGAACAACTTTTAAAAACTTTGCCTCAAGAGGTGTCAAACTATTAAATATTTTCTATTATAAGGACTGAGAATTGTTCACTGAAGAGAATAAAGTACCACTTTTGCATATATTACACAAACATTTTATGCTTCATGAAACCACAATAAATTTTCTTGCTGATTACTCATGTAATCTAAGAATCTCCTGCTGTTTTATAGAGTCTTATTAATTTCATTCAAGTAGTAAAATTAGCACCTGTAGAGAACTCCTTATGATTTCCTAACTTTTATCATATTAGTAATAACCTACTTCATTTATCATGGAACAGCTGCTTTTGTCTCCTTATCTATTTAGCTTTGGTGTTCTTTGAATCTAAAATGTTTTTGAAAAATAAAACAGTATTGGATACAGAAAAATACAGCAAGAAACCTTAGCCTTCAACTCAATCAGATTTAAGTAAATCGAGCTCTGATATTAGCTATGTATTTTAGCCATAAAAGAAGGAATTTTACCTTCACTTTAATGGATAGAAGACTCGGATGCAACTTAATGAAATTATAGAATGATTTACCAAAGTGTATGCTATTGGCCTGAACAAATTAACGAAGGCTCTTTTAGCTACCATGTGAAAGAAACCAAGGCAATAAAACACATTATTTAGTGTCTCCTTTAGAAGCATTGCACTTTCAATAAATTTATATTTGTTCAGCTGTGTACATTTTGAAATGAGTCAAAATATTCTTTGAGGCATCTTTTTTTCCTCCTTATTTTGTGCTGCCTTCTAACCAAGGATCAGCAGCAGAGGCAGCAGGACGAATTCAGTGCTGTAACCATGGGTCTATGGGGGGCATTGAAGGAAGGTTCTGGCATCGTTGAATTTGAGTAAAGATGGTTTCCAGGGTAGAGAAAAAAACATACTCCTAGTAAATTTCTAATGCAAGACCTTATGCTGGGAAATTTCTGTAAAATTTTTCATTCATCTTTATCCTGAGTATCATGCAGTTTAAGGAAACATTCCTTTGTTTAGTGTGTCTTTTTCAAAGGCTGGATTTAAACCCAAGTTAGCCTAAAGCTTAAGCTCATATTCTTTCTCATACAACAGCATATTGTTTCTAGAGAAGGAAATTTGCCTCAGAGAAACCTAATAGGAAATTTTGTTTTATATAGTCTCCCAAATAAACATTTGGCTTCTTTTCTTTCTTTCATCTTCGCTTCCACCCTTCTATCCCTTCTTGTTATTTTTATTTTTTAAATTTTTATTTGATTTCAGTCAAACTGCCTCATTTCTTTATCCTGGAATGGTAAATGGTATGTAGACAGAATATGTCCAAAAGTTTTGTCAAAAAGAAAAAAAATTATTCTGACCCTTGTTAAAATGTTGAGGAAGACTTTATTCAAGACTATTGTGATAGATGTCAACTATACTATAATAGGGGAGAGAGACCGAGATCAACTCCAAATATAACAAGGACGAGTGGTGATTTACAACCAAGGAGCAGTGTGTGTGTGTGTGTGTGTGTGTGTGTGTGTGTGTGTGAGAGAGAGAGAGAGAGAGAGAGAGAGAGAGAAAGAGAGAGAGAGGTGAGGTTGGAGGGGTTGGTGAATGGAAAACTATTAAGAAGAGACTTCTGCCTGGCATGGTGGCTCGTGCCTGTGATCCCAGCACTTTGAGAGGCTGAGGCGGGCAGATTACCTGAGGCCAGGAGTTTGAGACCAGCCTGGCCAACATAGGCGAAACCCCGTCTCTACTAAAAATACAAAAAATTAGCAGGGCATGATGGCGCATGCCTGTAATCCCAGCTACTCAGAGGCTGAGGAAGGAGAATTGCTTGAACTGGAGAGGTGGAGGTTGCAGTGAACTGAGATCATGCCACTGCACTCTAGCCAGGGTGACAGAGCGAGACTTCACTAACAACAACAACAAAGGCCCGGCGTGGTGGCTCACGCCTGTAATCCCAGCGCTTTGGGAGGCTGAGGTGGGTGGGTCACCAGGTCAGGAGATTGAGACCATCCTGGCTAACACAGTGAAACCTCGTCTCTACTAAAAATACAAAAAATTAGCCAGGCGTGGCGGCAGGCGCCTGTAGTCCCAGCTACTCGGGAAGCTGAGGCAGGAGAATGGCGTGAACCCTGGAAGCAGAGCTTGCAGTGAGCCGAGACCACGCCACTGCACTCCAGCCTGGGCGACAGAGTGAGACTCCGTCTAAAACAAACAAACAAACAAACAAAAAACAAAACAAACACACACACATACAAAAACGAGAAGACTTCACGGTTGAGAGGATTTTTGCTAAACCTACTTAACAGGATTCTTGCTGAAGACAGGCCAGAATGAACAGATATCACAAGTGGAAAACAGGAAATTTAATCAGATTTGAAGAGTGATCGGGTGTCAAGGGTGAGGAACTCTGTCTAAACTGACTTAACAGGATTCTTGCTCCAATTTGCTAAGCAGGTATAGCAACGACAGGAGCCAAATTCAAGACGTAGTTGAAAAGAGGGCTCAGAGGAGCCTGACTAAAGTTTGGTCAAGGAGATAGTCTGTCAGTTGCTCCTCTTGTTCAAGAAAAGAAGAGACATTGATTTGTTTATTTAATTGCCTTTTGTTCATTAAAGACCAGCTGAGCTATCGAATGAGCCTAGGTAGAAGGGCAGCCATTTGGGAAGAATTCTAGATGTTGGTCTTGAAGAATCCTGAGTCGCCCACACAACAGTAGCTCCAGACAAAAGGTTGCCTATTACTCAGCTTCAGCTTGCCGGGCTTCTTTAGATCCGGTGGGGAAAGTCAGCTATAGATAACTAGCATTCCAATAAGTATCTGGGCATTCAGGTTTTAGTTCTTGGCCACACCAAGACAGGAAAGTAGGGGAAAATTGGAAATGTTCATTTGGAGAGTTTTAGTGAGATATTGGAGAAAGCTAGAAGAGTTTCAAATTTTGTAAGAAATGATAAAACATGTAAGATATCAGGATCCAGTCCAATTTACAGGTAGATTACAAAACCTTGGAAACAACAAATAGCACTGGAATCTAATAACCAAGATTATGCTATAGTTTTCCATTGAAAATAAATTTTCTCCCTCCAGTCACCCCCCTTATTGATAATATATTTTAAAATGTAAGTATGATCTTATTAGAGTTGGCCTGATTATTTACATAAGTGATGCAAAAATGGTAATTGACCACATAAGCCATTGTAAATTTGCTTTGCTTGAATCTTTCATAACGAATCTTAGCTTGTGCTTGTAAAAGCCTCTTGAGACTAGAAAACCAAGCCAAGATCTTGCCATCAGACTTCACCTGTAATGCTTATAGATTTAAGTGAATTCTTCTCTTCTTGAGTGCCTCAAAATAGCCTAATTTTCCCGGGCTTGATGGGAAGTAACCATTCTTATTCACATGTAAGGCTAGTAGGTTTGTATGCCAAGTAACAGGCCAGTTTTTCCAAGAGGGCTTTGTAAGCATTGTCTCCGTGAAGTTCACCTTAGTTTCACAAAACAGTCTGATTATATCTGATTCTATGCACATCAGTCTCAAATATGACATTCCAATCTAAGCCTTGGTTATATAACTAATGTTTCCAAATATGTACTGTTACTAGCTAGGAAGATTCTTACTAAATTTAGGCAAATAATTATGTTGCCATAAAATAGGAATACTTAATAAGAGTTTCTAAATTTGGGGAGGATCAAATGGGGAGAAAAGATAAATCATTTATGTTCACAAAAGTATAATAAATCTCTATAAATTATAGATAACTTAAAAGTAGAAAGAAGTTCCTTAAACATAGAACACAGAACATTAAAGGACCAGCAATACTCCAAACAGAAGTCATAAAAAATAATCACTTTTCATAAGTTTATTCACTTCTATGTAATAAATAAATTATTGTGCTGCTTGATTTGGGGTTAGCAGCTTTATGAACCTGTCATCTTCTCCACTATAGTGGAGTATAGTTTCAAAGTTACTTAAGCAATTCCATCAAAATTCTGTGCCCCAGATACTTGTCATAGTACTTTTCATGGATCTCTGAGACAGTTCCTTATACTGAAGATGAAGCACTCTGGCCTACAGTTAATTGAAAGTGCTTCCAGAGAAAAATTAGAGTAAAACAAAAATTATCTGTGAATGGCAAAAACTTAAAATGGCTGTGGTTAAAGATATGATGAAAGTCATTTGCCAAGAAAATGTAATGTATGTGGTATACAACATTTTATAACTAGAATTGTGACTGATAGCATTAAACCAGGAGATGGTAACACTAAACCATGGACAGCAAGAATATTGTCAAATTTCAAAGTAGTTTAGAAAAATTTACACAATACTTATATGAGCAATATTTAACCATATGCATATAAATTATGAAAGATTAAAGCATCTCTTATTTGACACTTTCATGCAATTGAACATAACAAACAAACCTAATTATTTTTTAACATTTCTCTTTTAAAAAAAGTAAAAAAAAAATCATTGAAAATTTCCATGTGTGCTATAGAAAGTCTCAAGGTGAGTTCAATATCAATATTTCATTTATGCTTTGATTTTAGGAAGACAAAACTGTCAAAATTGTCAAAAGGTTTGAATATTTGACTAAAGAGGATCCTGAGTTACTGTGAAACAATACTTTGTAACTTTGTGCTTATTTAGCCAAAGTGGCAATAAAAAGATTCAAAAGTAGCTATATGAAGTATCATAAATATAAAAAAAGCTCTTTTGAAAAGTAAAAAGATTCATTTTGCTGGAATAACCAAATTCATAAAGGTTAAGATTAAACATAGGAAATTATTCTGATAAGACACATAATCTTTGTTTGTTTTTATGCAGGTTACTTAAAAGGTAAAGGAAGCCTTTTACAAGCTCTTAAGAGCAAACCAATAATGCAAGAAAAATTTGTAATTGCAACCAAGAGAAAACCAAACTCCAGTTTTATGTGTGTGTATTTTTATATTAAAGTTGACTTAATAAATATAAATATATTCATTCAATGCAGGCCATCTTTGGACACACAAGATAAGATACCTTTTCAAAGATACCTTTTTCACAAACCTTTAAAAACTTTTATTTATTTTTCCTTTATTTTCCTCTTTCTTTTCTGGAGAAATCAGTCATTTTACTTTAGGACAAAATTACTCAGTTTTTCTTAACAAAACCAAATCCTTATACTTTACATGCAAAATGGTTTACCTTATATCCTTATTACTTTTAGTAGTTTCATTTACATATATTAATGACAATTTTTAATCATTAGTAAACTTTCTTCTATAGAGAAAACTAAGAAGGAGGCAATTGTGAACTGTCTGTTATATATTAGAATTCTACAGCAGGCTAGCTAGGAAATTTAATGAATATAACATCTAACAATTTTGATAGTTACATATGTTTTCATAGTGCCACTTTTCACTATGGCAAAAAGAACCTATTAATTAATATAATCAAATATATTCAGCCTCTCTGTACTACTTAAAAATACGAACTCAAAAGTATACAAAGTAAAACATATTCTTTGTAATCAGTAGTTCATCTTACTTAGAAATGATTTAAATATTTAATGAATATCTATTATTTAATTTAAGTTAGGATAACTATAAAGTTGTAAGTTACCAAAAATATTTTGGAGACTATTTTCTGACTGATGCGTTATAACATTTAACAAAACTAGCCATCATCCCAAGTTATTTCCTGTTAACTATTTTTACAGCACTTTCATGTTAAGCAAGTGTTACAAAAGCAAAACAAACCTAAAAAAGTTGAATTCATGGGTTTTCTGTCGTATCACTGAACTTCATTTGTGTAAAGTAATTCATTTTAACTGCATCTTAATTTGTACGTTTGTTCTTAAGTTGACTTTATAATTTTTATAATCTTAAACATCTCATAGATATTTACCCAATTCACATGAACTTAGAAAGCATTTGGGTTAGTTTCCATATTTCTGGAAATTTTCCCAATATTTAATTTATATAAAGACATACTTATCACTAAAGCAATTTGAATAGTGCTTCTGTATAGGATTTTACAAGTTAATTTGGTAATACTATACGGAAGTAGAAAAATTCACCTGTATATACATAAATATACAAATAGATGAAAACAAGGACCTTATAGCTTCCATTCTAAAATCTTAGCCATGAATCAGGTAAACAAAATAATACAAACTTACTGGTTTATATAAAACAGTTGTCTCTTATCTTTGCTACATTTTATATTTTTATATGAAAAGTGTTTCTGACATGGAACAAGTTTAGGTTACTTGTTCAATATGAGGACTAATGCTTTTTGCCAATATTTGTGGAGGAGCCTTTTAAGGTTTTCTTTTACCCTGATTTGTAGCTGTTTTTAGAGCCCCTGAGTCCTTTGAGAGTTCCCAATGGGAGATCAGATGTCCTAAACTTTCAGTAACTATATGGAGTTGAAAGGTGGGATTGAAAGGGAAAAGTCTGGCAGGGGTGAACAGAGGGATTGAAGACATAGGAGTTTGAAGATCGACTTATCGAAAGATTCAAGGAAACCGAAGGGAAAATTGAAGGTGGTAAATGAGGAAGGAGGAGTGAGAGCTATGAGAAGAGAGAAGTTTTAGAAGAGCCTGGGAGCCAC
The DNA here is from genome assembly GCF_000001405.40 of Homo sapiens. Lineage (NCBI taxonomy): Eukaryota > Metazoa > Chordata > Mammalia > Primates > Hominidae > Homo > Homo sapiens. The sequence continues at coordinate 130,376,096 of NC_000004.12, forward strand.
TGAAGTTTGAAGTTGCTATAGCCTGAATGTGTTTGTTCCACCCAAATTTGTACACGGATATTCTAATCACCAAGGTGACGACATTAAGAGACAGAACTTGGGGAGGTCAATAGATCATGAGTGTGATGCCCCTGAATGGGACAGGTGCTTATAAAAGAGGCATGAGATAGCTTTTTTGCCACTTCTTTCATATGAGAATACAGTTCAAAAGTACTATCTGTGAGGAATGGTCCCTCACCAGGCATTGAATCTTCCAGTAACTTGATTTTGGACTTTCCAATCTCCAGAACTGTGAGAAATACATTTCCTTGGTTTACAATATAATCGATGTTTAGTATTTTGTTAAAGCAGACTGAACAGGCTAGGATATATTACCCTTAATATAATCATTCCAACAAGAGAAGAAGCCAGCAGAATTGGTAGAGCGTATAGGCAGTGGGGGTTCAGCAACCATGTGAATCAAAGTAAGTATACCCTTACTATACTTCAATGGATTATCATTTGGAGCACTGGATCAGGAGTCAGATCACCAATAAATCCCTTATCAGTCAGTCAGGAGTGAAGACAAAGATTTCACCAATGAACATTTGGGATCCAGGCCAAGAGATCCAGAGGTCCAATGATTAATATGATCCTATTCAAATCATGAATTCATAACTGTTAAAGAAAATTTATTCTGATACTTATTAAAGGAAAAAGGAAGACTTCATTATTATTGCTTAACTTTAAAAAACATTCATCATTATATTTCATATTTTGAAAGTTAAACATGCTCACTGCAAAAATATATGTACATGTAAAACATATAAAAGTAGAAATCACCCATTATTCAATTACCATTACATGGTCACCACTGACATTTTGACCTATTTATGTCCTTTTTATTAACAACATAATATCATAGACATTTTTCATATGTTAAGAACTTAAAGATGACTTATAATAGTCCATCTTGTGGATAATACATGATTCCCACAAACATATCTTTAATGTTAAACATTTATGTTCTCTCTGGTGAAACACAACAAAATTTGCCAATGTATATGAACTGCTTTAAAGTTATTAGTATGTTCACCTATTTATTTCTTTTAAAAGATCACTTCAGCTTATATTTTAGATTCGGGGGAGTATATGTGCAAGTCTGTCAAATGGGAGCACTGCATGATGGTTAGGTTTGGGGTATGGATGATCCCATCATCCAGGCAATGAGCACAGAACCCAGTAGGCAGCCCCTCACCCTTTCCTCCCTCCCCCTTCCAGCAGTCCCCAGTGTCTATTGCTCCCATGTTTATGTCTATGTGTACTCAGTGTTTAGCTTCCACTTAAAAGTGAGAACATGCTGTATTTGCTTTTCTGTTCCTGTGTTAAGTCACTTAGGCTAACAGTCTCCAGCTGCATTGATGTAACTGTAAAGGACATAATGTCATTATTTCTTATGGCTGCATAGTATTCCATGGTGTATATGTACCACATTTTCTGTATCCAGTTAGCCATTGATGAGCACCTAGGTTGACTCCATGTCTTTGTTATTGTGAATAGTACTGCAATTAATGTGTGAGTGTGTGTGTCTTTTTGGTAGAATGAGTGGTTTTCTTTTGGACATATAACCAGTAATGGGATTCCTTGATCAAATTGTAGTTCTGTGTTAAGTTCTTTGAGAAATCTCCAAATTACTTTCCACAGTGGCTAAACTAATTTACATTTCCACCAACATTATATAAGCATCCTCTTTCTCCACAGCTTTGCTGGCATATTATTTTTTGATCATTTATTAATATCCCTTCTGACTGGTAAGAGTTGGTATCTTGTTGTGATTTTGATTTGCATTTCTTGGATGACTGCTGATGATGATGAGTATTTTTTTATATCTGGGTTGGCTACCTTTACATCCTCTTTTGATAAGTGTCTGTTCATGTTTTTTGCCCATTTTTAAAATGGGGTTGTTTATTTTACACTTCTTGATTTAAGTTCCTTATAGATTCTGTACATTAGACCTCTGTCAGATGCATAGTTTATGAATATTTTCTCCCATTCTGTAGGTTGTTGATATACTCCATTGATAGTTTTTGTAGCTGTGCAAAAGCTTTTTAGTTCAATTAGGTCCCACTTGTCAGTTTTTGTTTTTGTTGCAATTGCTTTTGAAGACTTAGCCACAAATTCCTTTCCAAGGCTGATGATGAGAAGGGTATTTCCTAGGTTTTCTTCTAGGATTTTTATATTTTGAAGTCTTACACTTAAACATTTAATCCATCTTGAGTTACTTTTTGTTTATGGTGAAAGGCAGGTGCCTAGTTTCATTCTCTGCATATGGCTAGCCATTTGTCCCAGCACCACTTATTGAACAGGGAGTCATTTCCCCATTTCTTATTTGTGTTGACTTTGGAGATAGTTATAGGTGTGCAGTCTTATTTATGGGCTTTCTATTTGGTTCCATTGGTCTACATGCCTGTTTTTGTACTAGTACCACGCTGTTTTTGTTACTGTAGCCTTATAGTATAGTTTGAAATAGAAGAATGTGATGCCTCTGGCTTGTTCTTTTTGCTTAAGACGGCTTTGGCTATTTGGGCTTTTTTTGGTTACATATGAATTTTAGAATAGTTTTTTCTATTTCTGTGATAAATGACATTAGCAGTTTCATAGGAATAGCATTCAATCTCTAGATTGCTGTAGGAGAAATGGTCATTTTAATGATCCACAAGCATGGAATGTTTTTCCATCTCTACAAATTCTTGTAGAGAGTTTTCACCTCCTTGGTTAGATGTATTTCTAGGTATTTTTTGTAGCTATTTTAAATGTGATTGCATTCATGATTTGCCTGTAAGCTTGAAAGCTACTGGTGTATAGAAATGCTACTGATTTTTGTAACTTGATTTTGTATTCTGAAACTACTAAATAGTTTATTAGTTGTAAAAGACTTCTGTCAGAGTCTTTAGAGTTTTCTAAGGTATAGAATCATATCCTTAGTGAAGTGAGATAATCTGACTTCCTCTTTTCCCATGTAATGTCTTTTATTTCTTTCTCTTTTCTGATTACTCTGGCTAAGACTTGCAGTTTTATGTTGAATAGGAGTCTTGAGAGTTGGCATTCTCATCTTCTTCCAGTTCTTAAGGGAAATCCTTCCAGCTTTTTTTTCTCTTTGGTATGATGTTTGCTGTGGGTTTGTCATAGATGGCTTTTATTATTTTGAGGTATGTTACTTCAGGGCATAGTTTGTTGAGGAGGAAGACTATTTAGCACTATTGTGATAGGCATCAAATCTATTGCAATTGGGTAGTGAAATCACCCTCAACTCTGAGTATAGCAAGGACAGTGGAAATATATAGTCAACCAGCAGAATTAAAGGGATCAAGAGAAAAATTACTCAGAGGAAACATCAGGGTGGGGGAATTATTTCTAAGAATACTTAACAGAATTCTTGCTGAAGATAGGCTGGGGGATAAGCTATCAAAGTTAAGTGATGATGAATTTGCTTATATGTAAAGAGTGATTAGATATCAAGGGTGGGGAATTTTTGTTAAACTGACTTAGCAGAATTTTTGCTACAACTGGGCCATGCATGCTTAGCAAGGATGGGGGCTAAGGTTAAGGCCAAGTCAGGAGAAGGGCTCAGAGAAACCTGACTAAAGTTTATTCAAAGAAAGAAGTTTTTGTTGTTGTTGTTATTGTTGTTGTTTTTCCAGCTTTAAAACTGTGACAAATGCCATAAAGCATGAACTCAAGTCAGTATAGCTGGGAATATATCTTAGCTTTACTTCTTATTTATCTTCCTGAACTTGGGCACGATATACAACTCTTCACACACCCTTCATCTGAAAGATTGCGATAAAAAGAGTTTCTACTTAATAAAACTTTTGCTAGGATAAATGAGTTAATATATTCAAAGTTTTCAGTATAGAGTCCAACACTTAATAAATGCTATACAATAAATAATATTGCTTAAAACAATTTCTTATTACTTTTTCTACTCCAGAGTAAATAGGCCTTTATCACACCTCTTAGCCTTGTTCAGTTTTTAATAGTACTACAGACATCCTGGGTCAACCTCTTTGCCTAATAATCTCAGGAACTTGACCTCCATACTTATGCTCCTCCATTTCAATTTGTTCCCTCACCAGATATAATATGCATTGTACTTATTCCATTTACATTATTGTTCTGGCACTGCAGTTCATTCTCATTTGGAAATCTTCTATGTCACACACCATATATATCCTTTTAAATGCTCTTCCTTCTTTTTCTCTATTTTCTAATCCTTTTACTTGTGCTAAAAACTTCTCTTCTGCTTTCATTTGCCTATAAGACATTAAAGTGTACATATTCAGGAGACAATTGATTACATATTTTTGAAATTTTGAAACCAAATCTTCAACGAAGATACAGTTTTGTGAGATGGAAGTATATAATTGGTAACTGAAGCTATAGTGGAGAAATACGAATGCTAGAGTGAATGAAACTAATCAAAAATATAAAGCCTAAGAAATTGGAGTGATACAAGAAATTCATGGCAGTTTTTTTCAGATAGGTGCTTTTTTCATATGTGTCTTTATTTTCAATTTTTTTTTTAATCTTTTTACACACATTTTAGGTGTACAACAATTTGGTATACACACCTATATAGTGTGATGGTTAATATTGAGTGTCAACTTGATTGGATTGAAGGATGCAAAGTATTATTCCTGGATGTGTCTGTGAGGGTGCTGGCAAAGCAGATTAACATTTGAGTCAGTGGACTAGGAGTGGCAGATCCACCCTCAATCTGAGAGGGTACCATCTAATAAGCTGCCAGTGTAGCTAGGATAAAAGCAAGCAGAGGAATGTGGAAGGACTAGATTGGCTAAGTCTTCTTGGCCTCTATCTTTCTCCCATGTTGGATGCTTCCTGCCCTTGAACATCAGACTCTAAGTTCTTCAGCTTTCAGACTCTTGGCCCTACACCAGTGGTTTGCCAGAGGCTCTCGGGCCATTGACCACAGACTGAAAACTGCACTGTTGGCTTCCCTACCTTTGAGGTTTGGGGACTCAGGCTGGCTTCACTGCTTCTCAGCTTGCAGACCACCTATTGCGGGACATGATCTTGTGATTGTGTGAGTCAATACTCTGTAGTAAACTCCCTTTTATACATACATTTATCCTATCAGTTCTGTACCTCTAGAGAACACTGAATAACATAGATTTTGGTACCAGGAGTGGAGTGCTTCTGCAAAAATACCCTAAAATGTGGAAGTGACTTTGGAACTGGGTAACAGGCAGAGGTTGGAACAGTTTGGAGGGCTCAGAGGAAGACAGAAAAGTGCAGGAAAGTTTCAAACTTCCTAGAGACCCTGAGGGCTCAGAATACATGAAGACGTGGGAAAGTTTGGAACTTCCTAGAGATTTGTCTAATGGCTTTGACCAAAAGGCAGATAGTGGTATGGACAATAACGTCCAGGTTGAGGTAGTCTCCAGTGGAGATGAGGAACTTGTTGGGAACTGGAATAAAGGTCACTCTTGCTATGCAAAGAGACTGGCTGCATTTTTCCCCTGCCCTAGAGATCTATGGAACTTTGAACTTGACAGAGATGATTTAGGGTATTTGGGGGAAGAAATTTCTAAGCAGCAAAGCATTCAAAAGGAAGCAGAGCATGAAAGCTTGGAAGATTTGCAGGCTGACAATACTATAGAAAAGAAAAATCCATTTTCTGGAGAGAAATTGAAGCCTGCTGCAGAAATTTGCATAAGTACCAAGAAGCCAAATGTTAATCACCAAGACAATGGGGAAAATGTCTCCAGAGATGTCAGAGATCTTCAGGGCAGCTCCTCCCATCACAGGCCATGAGGCCAAGGATGAAACCATTGTTTTCTTGGCCAGGCCCAGCTCCCCACTGCCTCATACTGCCTAGGGACTTGGTGCCCTACATCTCAGCTGCTCCAGCCATGGCTAAAAGGGGCCAAGGTATAGCTTAGGCCATGGCTTCAAGGGTGCAAGCACCAAGCCTTGACAGCTTTCGTGTATATTGAGCCTGCAGGTACACAGAAGTCAAGTATTGAGGTTTGGGAACCTCCACCTAGATTTCAGAGCATGTATGGAAATGCCTGGAAGTTTAGTCAGAAGTTAGCTGCAGGGGTGGGGCCCTCATGGAGAACCTCTGCTAGGGCAGTGACAAAGGAAAATGTGGGGTGGGACCCCCTACACAGAGTCCCACTGGTCACTGCCTAATGGAGCTGTGAGAAGAGGGTCACCATCCTCCAGACCCCAGAATGGTAACTCCAGTGACAGCTTGCACGTGTACCTGCAAAAACTGCAGACACTCAACACTAGCCTACAAAAACAGCCAGGAAGGGGGTTGTACCCTGCAAAGTCACAAAAGCATGGCTGGCCAAGACCATGGGAACCCACCTCTGGCACCAGTGTGACCTGGATGTGAGTCATGCAGTCAAAGGAGATCATTTTGGAGCTTTAAGATTTGAGTGCCTTGCTGGATTTCGGACTTGCATGGGGCTTGTAGCCCCTTCATTCTGGCCAATTTCTGCCATTTGGAATTGGTGTTATTTACCCAATATCTGTACTCCCATTGCTTTTGATTTACAAGCTCATAGCCAGAAGGACTTGCCTTGTTTCAGATGGGACTTTGCACTGTGGACTTTTGGGTTAATGCTGGAATCAGTTAAGATTTTGGGGGACTATTGGAAAGGCATGATTGGTTTTGAAATGTGAGGACATGAGATTTGGAAAGGGCCAAGAATGGAATGATATGGTTTGGCTCTGTGCCCCCACTCAAATTGCACCTTGAATTGTAATAATCCCTACGTGTTGTGGGAGGGTAATTGTGGTGGGAGGTGACTGAATCATGGGGGCAGGTTTTTCCTGTGCTATTGTCATCAAATGGAATAAGTCTCATGAGACCTGATGGTTTTATAAAGGGGAGTTCCCCTGCACACTCTCTTTGTTGCCTGCCACCATGTAAGATGTCCTTTTGCTCTTTCTTCATCTTCTGCCATGATTGTGAGGCTTCCCCAGCCATGTGGACCTGTGAGTCCATTAAACCTCTTTCCTTTATAAATTACCTAGCTTGAATATGTTTTTATTAGCAGCCCAGTGGGAGCTAATTGAATGATTGGGCAGGTTTTTCCCATGCCATTCTGGTGATAGTGAATAAGTCTCAGCCAGGTGCACTGGCTCACGCCTGTAATCCCAGCACTTTGGGAGGCTGAGGCAGGCAGCTCATGAGGTCAGGAGATCGAGACCATCCTGGCTAACACGGTGAAACCCCGTCTGTACTAAAAATACAAAAAAAAAATTAGCCGGGTATGGTGGCGGGCACCTGTAGTCCCAGCTACTCGGGAGGCTGAGGAAGGAGAATGGCGTGAACCCTGGAAGCAGAGCTTGCGGTGAGCCGAGACCACGCCACTGCACTCCAGCCTGGGGACAGAGTGAGACTCCGTCTCAAAAAAAAAAAAAAAAGTCTCACAAGATCTGATGGTTTTATAAAGGAGAGTTCCCCTGCACAACTTCTCTTGCCTGCTGCCATTTAAGATGTCCCTATGCTCTTCCTTCATCTTTTCTGCCATGACTGTGAGGACTCCCAAGCCATGTGGAACTGAGTCCATTTAACCTCTTTCCCTGATAAATTACCCAGTCTCAGGTATATCTTTATTAGCAGCCTGAAAACCAACTAATACATATAGTGAAATGATAACTACATTCAAGCAAATTATTCTATCCATCACCTTTTATAATTACTTACTTCCCCTTAAACAAGAGTGCCTAAAAATCTACTCTCTTAGTAAATTTTCAGTATTCAATACAATATTGTTAACTATAACTCTCATGGTCTACATTAGAGCTCTAGACCTATTCATTCTACATAGCTGCAAGTTCATAACCTTTAACCCACTTCACGTCATTCTATTTATTTCCCCTGATTTCCCCAGTAATCACTGTTCTATTCTCTGTTTGCTATGTATAAGTGAAATCATGCAATATTTTTCTTTCTGTATCTGGCTTATTTCTCTTAGCCTAATGTCCTCTGGGTTACCAACATGAATGTTGTGACAACGTGAATGTTGTCACAAATGGCAGTATCTCCTCCATTTTTAAGGCTGACAAGTATATATATATATAATTCATATTAATATATTATTTTCAATCCATTTATCTGTCAGTGGACACTTAGGTTGTTTTCATATCTTGAACATTATGAGTAATGCTGCAATGAACATGGGAGTAAAGCTTGTTTTACTAGGTGCTATTTGCATTTCTTTTATATCTAGCAGAAGTATTGTTGAATCATAAAGTAGTTCTATTTTTAATTGTTGGAGGAAACTCCATGTTTTCCAGAATTGCTGTACCAATTTATATTACCATCAAGAATGTACAAGGGTTCCCTTTACTTCACAGCTTCACCAACAATGATGATCTCTTGTCTTTTTCATAATTGTCATCTTAACAGGTGTGAGGTAATATCACACTGTGGTTTCGATTTGCATTCCACTGCTAATTAGTGATGTTGAGCACCATCTTATATATCTGTTGGCCATTTGTATGTCTTCTTTGGAAAAATGTCTATTCAGGTTCTTTCCTCATTTCTTAATTAGGTTATTTGTGTTCTTTTTTCTATGGAGTTGTGTGAATTCATTATGTATTTCGGATGTTAACACCTGATCAAATATATGGTTTGCAATTCTTTTTTTCCCAATCCTTAGATTCTCTCCACTCTTCATTCTGTTGATTTTGTTTTGTTTTTGTTTTGTGTGTGTATGTGTGCAGGAGCTTTTTAGTTTTATGTAGTCCCACTTGTTTATTTTTGCTTTCGTTGCCTGAGCTTTGGGATTGCAGATACACACTCTCAAATGCTGCTGAGAAGTCAAGCAATATGAAAGTGAAAAAAATTTTTATATTTACTAACAAAATGTCTATAAAAATTTTGACATCTATTATTGCCTGCCTCTATGGTGAAGTTCCTACTGAGAATGTGGAAGGTGTTGAAATTTAAGGTGTAGTTGAAGGAACTGGCCTAAGACAGAAGGAGTGGTATCTCATTTACTAAAACAAACAAACAAAAGTAATAAAAATAGATGAGTCTACACTATAATTGGTTTCATGGCTTCTGTTTACACTGATGAGTGAAAGAGTGTTGAACAAAAAAACATAAGAGGAGAGTGGAGAAGGTTTAAACTTCCAGTTGACAAAAGAAGATTATGATTACGGTAAAATCCAATAGATAGCAGTGATGAACTAACACTTGAGGTTAATAGTAGCAACAAAGGATGAATGGTGAATCTAACCTTGATCATGAGCATTGTCTGACAGTAGTCATCAGTCCAACTGTTGGTCAAGAGAAGGTGAACAATTTCCTCCATTCCAGCATGAATTGGGCTAGGTTTCCATGGCAAAGGTTAATAAAAAATATAATTGTGGGCTGGGAGAGGTGGCTCCCACCTGTAATCCCAGCACTTTGGGAGGCCGAGGCGGGAGGATCACGAGGTCAGGAGATCGAGACCATCCTGACTAACACGGTGAAATCCCGTCTCTACTAAAAATACAAAAAAAAAAAAAAAAAAAATTAGCCAGGCATGGTGGCAGGCGCCTGTAGTCCCAGCTACTCGGGAGGCTGAGGCAGAAGAATGGCGTGAACCCAGGAGGCGGAGCTTGCAGTGAGCCAAGATCGTGCCACTGCACTCCATCCTGGGAGACAGAGTGAGACTCCGGTCTCAAAAAAAAAAAAAAAAAAAAAAAATATATATATATATACATATATATATGTATATCATTGTATATTTGAGAAAAGGATCAATTAAAATTCTTAATTTTCCCATTTTTTCTTCTAACTTCTTGCATTAAAACAGTACTGTTCTCTCATATTTTTTATTTATATATAATTTCAATTATATATTGCAATGATTTTTTTTCAGGATAAACTGTGTTCTAACTACTGTTTTTGTATAATAACCCTAAACTTAATGACATAAAAACATTTGAAACGTACATGAATTCTGTAGGTTAAAAGTTCAACCAGGAACTATAAAAGAAAGAAATGCTCTGGACACTTGTTAAAAATGGCAAGGAAACTGTAGTCCCAGCTACTCCAGAGGCTGAAGCAGGAAGATCACTTGAGGCCAGAGTTTGAAGCCAGCCTTGGCAACATAACAAGACCCCATCTCTAGAAAAAGAAAAAAAAGACAAGGAGACTTCAGTCAAGACTCTTGCAATATGGATCAAGACTGTTTCAATAAAAGAGAGCAATTATATTCAACTTCACTGAAAGAAAAGGTGGGAGAATTTTAAAATGTTGGAATAAGCTAACGGAAAACTATTAGCAAAGGCATTAGCAGATGACATTAGCAAAGAAATTGGTCGAAGTGACTATGTCATCTATCTTTGCTTGAAGTGAGACTCCTAACCTCCCCAGAGATTCAAAATTAGGGACAATATCTCCTTAAATGAATATACCTTTCAAAGGGATTGTTCCTTAAACTTTGACGGAGACATTCCTTGTAAAACTGGTGAGAAGAGGGAAGAAGCTTTACATCTCATAGAGGCAGAGAAAAAGTTTATAATTGCAAGTTGTTGTAAGTAAATGCTCTAGAAAAGAAAGGTCATGGATCTGTAGTCAGGAAGAAACCTGTCTAAGATTAGTCAAGTTGAGAGGAATTTTAAGGCCTTCTTGTTCAGTACAGGGATGAGCTTAGCTGTTTTCCACAGGGTATGGGTTTCAGCTGGAAAGACATGAAGGTTAGAGGTGATTCTATGGCTGGGGGAAGGGATGACTTTTCTCATATAAATAAAGGTTGATGCTAAATGTCAGCTGGAACCTCTGCTGGGATGTCAGCTGAAACACCTGCTCTCCATGAGGGCTAACTTTAGTTTGCTTGCAACACAGTGACTGTATTCCAAGTGGGAGCATCCCTAGAAACAAAATAGATGTGTGTGGCATTAATATAATTCAAGAAGAGTTGTGGAGTCACTTTCACCATGTTTCCAGGTTCAGGGAGATGATTATGTGAGTTGGAAGGCATCGTTGTGTCTATCTACAGAAAGCACACTCTGCCATGGTCAGAAATACTATTGGCCAAGTATAATATTTATTAGGAAAAATTAGATTTATATTTCTAATAAGATGGGATCGTTGTATGCTTTGTTATCTTTTATTTAGAATCGTAACAGAATGTCTATATAATAAATTAGTGGAGAAAGTTATTTTGAACTTGCATTATTTTCAGTATGAATTTTGGAGTAGAATCCACTTATAATTTAGTTGAATTTAAAGAGGGAATAGCTTTACTCTTATTACTATCTTGTAACTGTCAATTGTAATTGTCAATTACAATTACAGCCTAAACTGTACCGAAATTCCTAGGGAATATTTTTCTAAAAGAGCCATAAGACAAGGGTGTGTTCTGATTCTTAATTGCAAGTAATTAAAAAGGCTCATAATCCTTGTTTAACCAAAATCATTTTGAGCTTTCCCCTAGGGAAAAGGTGGTATTATTTATTTATGGCTATACTATAATTCATATATATGTATTTATATAATCGCCATACCAGACTGAGGAATCAGAATTAGTGTATAGAAAAACTAGGTACCATCCTAGAAACTAATATCTGAAATTCACTTTTTTTCTTGGAATATTTGTTGAGTCTCTACTTCGTGTCAGGCATTGGGATAGGCACTGTGATAATTATTTGATGAGCAAGACATGGTACCTACTTGGAAAGCCCATAGTGTCCATAAGTAAGCATGCAATAATTTTCATATATTAAAAATAAACATTTTACTCTGAGTTGTTTTTGAATGATGCAGAAAAAACACAATGTATTTTCCAAATTAGTTTCATATTTCTTTTGAGAAATAAAAATATGAATAAGTAGAACTTAATTATTTGATTTGCAGAAATAATATGAATACAAATCTTCAGCTATTCATTGCTACTTGCTTTTGGAAAAGCAGAAGACTAGATGCTATATACATATGAGTAGCCCTTAGTAAGCAGAAACCCCACTTCTCTCAGATGGTATGTATAATCCATATTGTAAAAGAGATCATCTATTAAAATATATATTGTTTTATACTTTATTTCCTTTTCAATTGCACAGGTTTTATATATTATGCTGTTACATGGCAGGAAAATCTAAATTTCTGATCTGAGGAAACCCTAGTTTATGAGAAGCCATAAATTTCAGATAAACTGGGGTTTGCTGCTTTGAAGGTTACGTTGGTATACACCCAACAGATATAATAATAATTCACATTTTATATATTTTGATACCTCTTTAAAATATTCTAAATGTAAAAGCAATAACAATTTTTATTTATTTTCAGAAATGTCGGTTCACTTGTTCTTAGAAATTGATGTATGAGTTTAAATTTATACAATTTAATTTAATTTAATTTTTTATTTTCAAAAATTATTTATTTTATGGATTTAGGGGTACAAGTCCAGTTGCGATACATGAATATATTGCGTAGTGGTGAAATTTGGGCTTTTAGTGTACCCATCACCTGAATAGTGTGCATTGTACCCAATAGGTAGGATGTTATCCCTTGCCTCCCTCCCTCCCTCCCACCCTCCCGCATTTTGGAGTCTCCAATGTCTATTACTCCACTCTGTATGTCTGTATGTACCCACTGTTTCGTTCTGACTTCTAGTTGGGAACACACATTTTTAAAACTTTTTGTTTCTCAGTCATTTCACTAAAGATAATGGCTTCCAGTTCTATCTTTGTTGCTGTAAAAGACATAATTGTATTCTTTTTTATGACTGAGTAATAGTATATTGTATATAAAGTCAGTATCTTGATTAGCTTTTGATTCAGGTTAGATTTAGTCACAAATATTCCAATCTCCAATGCAATTATAACGTAAAGTGTGAATCACTGCACAGCATGAGTGACCTGAAAGCTTTATTATCGTCTTCCCCAGATTTTGTAGTGTCATGGTGGAATGGATGTTTATAATTGCCTTTGATGAAAGTCAATGGTTAACCAGTGCACATGTCAGAAGTTGTAATAGGAAGAACAACTAATAGAAACTTAAAGATTTGGTAGATAATTATTATTTTTATTGTTGTTCAATTTGTTGCATTTGAAGTTTTGCTTGGTCTAGACAACTTAACAAGCCACATGTTTTGTTAGTTTTGGCAAAAAACAGAGTTCAATTATAGTGTCTTAAAAGCTCAAAATAAGAAAACAATAAAAGCTTTACCTATGATTCAAATATACTTGAGTAGGAGCTTTCTCTAGAAAAATCTCAAAGATGTGGGAAGTCATGAAATAGTGACACATTAGGGAAGAAAATGAATCTTGGTAATATTTTAAGAACACAAATTATATTCCAAGTTATTTTGCAAAGTGTTCAGTTTTATTTCTAGATTGAGTATGCACATTAGGCAGTCTGTCTTTATTATTCGGCAGGATGAAAATCTGCATAGGACTCCCACAGTGTCTATAATGTAAAATAATCTCACTGACTTGTTATTTGAATTATTTTGACACTTATCACAAACAAGTTGAAAAGTCAGAATGATCTCAATTCTGAATAAATAATAATAAAAATATCCATATATCAATGTAATTAAACATATGCATTTATATTTTTCTAGGTGTGCACCATATATATTACTATAACATTTTCTATAGGTCCTGCAAAAACATTTATATCAAGTTCTCTGTCTAGTGACATATAGATATAATATTACATTTGCTTATGACAAGTGAATTAGAGATGAAAGCTATGGATCATTTAAAAATAATATAGTCATATTAAGTTGTGAAAATAGTTTGGAAATAAATTAGCTTAATAATTGACTAGTTTTTCCCTTCCATTGCATATGCATGTAAAAATTGAATCACTAAGACAGAACTTCTGTACATAACCTAAATATTTACTGAACTAAAAACAAATCATAGCTAAGTGAAATAAGCCAGTCACAGAAAGACAAATACTGTTAATTCCATTTACATAAGATATTTAGAATAGTCAAAGTCATACGGAAAGAAAGTGGAATGGTAGGTACCAGGGTCCGGGGGAGGAGAGAATGAGGAGTTATTGATTCAAGGGTACACAGTTTCCATTTTACACGATGAAGAGTTATGGAGATATATGGTGGTGGTGGGTGCACAACATTATGGATGTGTTTAATACCACCAAGCTGTATACTTAAAAATGGGTAAGATGGCAAATTTTGTTATATGTATTTTTCCACATAAAAAAACATGGAAAAATATTTTTAAAGCCTCACAAACTAAAAAATCTTAAGTGTCAAAATAGCCATCTCAGGTGTGAATACAGAACAACCTTCTATACATGAAAATTAACTTTCTAATCTTAATGTACAACTTACTGCCATGTTGTGTAGGCTTAGTATTAGTGATGAATTGATAGCTAAGTTATGTATTTTAAACTATAACAATGCCTTCTTTCTGTTCTTTCTCAACTTTCTGTTCCCCACTGACCTCCTTTGCCTCTTCATCCTTCCCTTCTTGCTCATCCTTTCTCCTCATTTTTCTACTCATATTCCAAAAGTAAATATTAAAATTATGTCCTTATGATAAGAAAAACTAATCATCTTAGCAATGGTCAAATCAGATGCAATTAAAATTTTCAATTTTGCTTAAACTTGCCTGAGAAATGGTGAATAAATACCACTTTACTTATCTCAGCATTGTATATTCAATATTAAGGAACATTAAAAGACTTTAAAATGAAATTAATTTTATTTCAAGGTAAAGTAAAGCATGCTTATTCTGATGATTTCTTATCATGAATGGTTTTAAATAACCTAACCAATAAGCATTCAATTAACACTTTTTTCCCGTCCAGAAATATTTCAAACTCTTTTCTATCCCCGAACAACAACATTGCATGATAAATTTTCAAATTTTAATCAAAAGTAAAAATATAAAATTCAATATATCCCTACTATACCATGTTGGATTTAATATCACAGTGAGTCAGATAAGAGTTTGAGCTGTTGCCAACTTGTTAATTGGAAGACCAAGAGGAGAGAAAGCTCAGAGAGCTCAATTTAATACATTGGTTATTCAGTATATTGAGTAATAAATTAGTAGCTAGAAAGAATGAATACATTTCTCTGGTAGTTTATCATGCAGTAGTAATTTCAGCCTTACATGTAATGTGCCTCTAGGTTCCATCCACATATATCACAGGTGGAATTAAAGTCTATTTAGTTTATGAAAGTGTTACCCTCAAAAATAAAAGCAAATCTGTATTCAGCTGAACTATCCAGAAAATGGATGCAAGACCCTCTGTTTTTGGATTATGTAGAATCTTGTGCCTTTTCCATATCAGAATATATTTGCAAACATGGTAGTGCTCTCTAATTTCCAGCTGTATTCAAGAATATAAAAACATATTTTCAGAAAACTAAATTAGAATTTAAAATACAATGCACATATATGGACAATAAATTATATAAGAAATAATCAGTAATTTTATATTTAAATCTTTGAATCTGTTTTTCTTTAATTATTTCCACATTAATTATTTTGTGTTACATTATGGGTTTCAAGAATTAGGTAATTTATTTTATTTTTTGGGAGAAAGTTTCTGGTTGTCTCTGCTTTTAATACAATTGACCATTTATGCCTCAGTGAAAGTATGTAAGCATTATTTAATACATTTATGGACCTGAATCTTTGGATGTGCAAATGTATTCTTCAAAGTAAATTACCCCTCCACTTTATAGAATTATATGGGTAGAGAGTAAAGTAAGATCTCCATAAAATGTCTTATTTGTGGTGCTGTTTTCTGCTATAAGAGCTTCCATTTTGTCAAAGGAGAGACTGAGGTCATCATCCTTTACACACTGGCTAACACCCTGGTAATGAACAATCATTCAAGACATCATTTTAGAGGCTGAGTTGAGTCTTCTGTAAGGAAAATGGCAACCTGTTTGGATAATGTTATTATGACTTAATTAAAACAAGAACACTGCACAGGTCTTCTCTTATGGTATATGTTTCTCAAGTTTTACTAATTAATCCTTCCCAGTGGGAAAAATGCTATTAACACAGAGTTGGGATGTTATGCTGAATGAATGTAAACGTTATAAATAATATTTGCTTGTTGAATTAAACACAAAACACAACATTAAAAAATGAATATATTAACATTTTCTATTTCTAGATATTCATATAAATAAAATATTTAATTTCTTTGCAAACATTAGAGCAGAAGTGAGAATTATCAATATATCCTTTAAGATATCACCCTGTCCTAATAAACTCATTAATGAATTTTTCTTAACTTTCTTTTAAAATGGTGAAAAATGCATATTATTCCATAAAAATGTAATTCATTCATCATAACACTATTTTATTTAAAGCTGTAATACACTGATATGTTGAAATAAAGTTTATTTTTAAAATTAGTATTTAACACTATGTAAGAATATTAATTGCATCACACTTTTGGAATCATTGAAAATATATAAATTCGGATACATAAAATAATATGATAAAATTAAAAAATCCTCTGATACCTATCAATGCCCTAATTTATTATCCTGTTAACAATGATGTAAAACAGGGGTGTCTAATCTTTTGGCCTCCCTGGTCACAGTTGAAGAAGAATTGTCTTGGGTCACACATAAAATACATTAACACTAATGATAGCTGATGAGCTAAAAAAAATTAATAAAAATAAAATAAACTGCAAAAAAATTTCATAATGTTTTAAGAAATTTTACAAATTTGTGTTGGATGACATTCAAAGCCGTCCTGGGCCACATTGGGTCACAGGTTGTAGAAGCTTGGTGTAAAAGAAAGAAATTTCATTAATTTAAAATACTTGCCCTTTGGATCTGACCTAGTGCCTAGACTTCTCTAGCACTAAGTGTATTTTCAGTCACATTGAGGAAGATTTCTTCACCCCAGAACTATTGCTCACATTCTCCCATATAGTAGCGGTTGCCTATTTTATGTTTGACTAAAAAGTGTTGGTAGGCCAGCCCTCCCCAATGTGTCTCCAATTTGCTTAGATGCTAATTTGGAAAGTTCCATTTTTTCTTTGAAAAAAAGGGAACAAAATAAATACATTATTTGCTGAGTTACTTGAGAACTAAAAAGTCACTCTTGTAAATGCTCTAGATAAATTATAGAGTCCAGACAAGTGGGATTAATATTTCAGCCAAAGTTAGAAATCAGAGTTGGGTTTTGATTTTTAATGGCATGTAGCACAGAGACACCCACAACTTCTCTGAAAAATACACATTCCTTATAGGGCTCTTGAAGAACATATAGGCAAGAAAGATAAAACTAATGGGAAACAAAGTACTGCTTTATTATCTTTGAGAAGCCATTATTTTTGTTGGAAGAATTGTGGGACCTTATAAAGCTGAGTTTGGCATGAGCCTTAAGCCAAAAACTTAAGTGGGGTCTTAACCACAAAAGCCACAGTCCACATTTAAAGTCAGCAGTAAAGACATCTTTTTAAATTTATTTCTCCTGCCCAGCTTTACTTTCTCCCTTTCTTGGTGTTTCAGGTTAATTGTACTAATGTCCCTAATTTTCCACTACTCCCTCTATCTATGCCCTTTGCATTATAAGTTTGCAGTGCCTCCATTAAGAGGCAAAGTCTATTTCTTCATCCTTGAATCTGGGATGGCCTGGCCTGGTCAGTAGAATGCAGTAGATACGACAAGTAATTTCCGAACCTAGACCTGAGAGGCTTCTGTTTTTTCCACTCTCTGCTTTGAAGCCCTTCATCTGCAGTGAGAACAAGTCTACATTCTTCTGCTGCAGAATGAGATAGAATGTGGAGCACAGCCAAGTCATAACAGCCAAGGCCATGTTATGTGATCCAGGTCCACTCAACCCACAACAGATAACTGCAGACATAAGAACAAGCACCGTTAAGATAGGTTGAATCCAACTATCAGTGGAATCACCCAGATGACTATAGACTTAACACAAATAATAAATGTTCATTGTTTTACACCAACTAGTTTAGAATCTTTCATTATGCAGAAATAGCTAAATAATACAATTCAATGTTTGACTCCTCATTCCTTTGTACTTCTATCTCATGTGATATGCCTGTTTTTCTGCATGATCTTTAGTGAAATGGTGAAATAAAATATGGTCACAGTCAACCAGCCTAGTCCAAACTCCAATCTGTTTCAGAATTTGATGAAAACTGGGTTAACATTTTACCAGAGACTTGTTACCATGGTTTTCATTTTTTTATTTTATTTTTTTAGACAGTCTCACTCTGTCACTCAGGCTGGAGTGCAGTGGCATGATTTCAGCTCACTGAAACCTCAGCCTCCCGGGTTCAAATGATTCTTGTGCCTCAGCCTTCCAAGCACTACAGTTTTTAGAAAAGTATGTACCGCTTTGATGAGCTGATAAACTAAGCTGAGAATGACAATATAAGAACCCTCAGAACATCATTGGGAGTTTAGTCTTTCTCTACCTGAAACCAGAATTTTTAGTTATATGTCAATACATTATTTTTTCAAAAAAAATTAACTGAAGCAAGTACAATTTGGGTTTCCATTAAAACCAAACATTTCTAAGTAATACAGGGTTTTATAACTGTCTAGTCACAAGGGAGAAGGAATTTCAGAAGACTACAAGGAGATACTGTGGTCAGCAAGTTGCTCAGTATCAAGTAACAGAGAACATCAAAGAAAGAACAAAGAAAATGAACATGCATCTTTTAATACATAGTAGCTCATTTCCAAATAAACATGCCCCAAAGCATTGTTTTGAATATATATTATTCTATGGTAAATCCATTTTCCTTTGAGCAGGAGGTGGGATTATTAGTAGAATAAAAATAAATTCTATTAAAACAAATTTAGGCCAGGCATGGTGGCTCAGGCCCGTAACACCAGCACTTTGGGAGGCTGAGGTAGGTGGATCACTTGAGGCCAGGAGTTTGAGACCAGCCTGGCCAACATGGTGAAACCTTGACTCTACTAGAAAATACAAAACACTAGCTAGGTCAGGTGACACACGCCTGTAATCTCAGCTATTTGAGAGGCTGAGGCACGAGAATCCCTTGAACCCGGGAGGCGGGGCTGCAGTGAGCCGAGATTGCATGTTCATTGCACTTCAGCCTGGGTGACAGAGTGAGGTAAGACACTGTCTCAAAAAAAAAAAGAAAAGAAAAAAATTTTTAAAAAGACTACAGATATTACTTCCTACTACCTGCGTTAATACCTCCCAGCCCTATTACTAGGCACTGAAGTTGAAAAAATTAAATTATATAAATCTTTCATTGGCAAACACTGTAACCACTAAAAAATGAGCAATTCTCTCTTCAAAGCTGAAATCAAAGTATATCTCAGAATTTCATTTCAACTATGGTACATTCTGGAATGGAATGAGAAGAAACATCAGACTGATAACTTTCTACGTTGCTTACAATTATAAATATACTGTTCTGTTTTTCCATGTGCCTTTGTTTGAGTGTGTATGCATTCAGCAATAGCATCTTATATTTAAAGCTGCTAGATGAATCAAGCAAGATTGTCAATTGTCCTGTAACAGACTCATAATAAATACCTCTATTTAAATATTATTTGACAAAACTTGCCTATGTAAAGTAGTTTTAAAAATATGATGCTTGGGAGGCTGAGGCAGGAGAATGGCATGAACCCTGGAAGCGGAGCTTGCAGTGAGCTGAGATCGCACCACTGCACTCCAACCTGGGTGACAGGGTGAGACTCCATCTCAAAAAAAAAAATATATATATATATTTTTTATATACATATATATAGATGATGCTCAACTTATGAACTCACAAGTAGAATACACTGTGCTTTATTTGAATTTGTGGGCAAAAAGATTGCATTAAAAGAAGTCAGGAAACAGGAAACACAGGGAAATGTTAACTTTCAAAGTGTTCTTGGTTATAATAACTATTACAAACTCATGATTGTGACAGATGAGAAGTTTAGCATGAATAACAAAATTAGACAAACATATTTTGGCCATGATATATCCGGTATATTCAGAAAGGAAACACACAAACTATTAAACTTAGTCATGGAGAAATAGGACATAAAGTTGACTCACCACTAGCAGTGATTGCTTTAGTGTAAATCTGGAATCCCAGCAATTCAGTCAATATGAACAAATGCTAGAAAGTAAGCTGTTTGTCCAAAAATATTTTTTATTAACGAAGAGCAAAATACTGCATGCTCTGGAATTCATCCATGCTGAACATATTCTTTAAATAAATAAATCGTGTTGAGGATAGTTGGCCTCTAAACTTGTGTTGAAAATGTAGGAGTCTGAATCTGTCTTTATTTAGTACGCATTGCCTCTGCATGTCATGTACACAAAAAAAGTAGAAACCAGGAGTAGGGTAGAATTAATCAATGACTGTCATGAAATAAATTCAGTTTGGTCAACACTAACTGAAATATTCTTAAATAGGGGTTAATTGTACTTGATCTACCTCCCTTTAATGCCCACAATATTTAGTACCCATACATTCTTAGGAACAATTGTAAGGAATAAAATACATGAAAATGGATTAAATGAAGATGTATTAATTTTATACTTGTTAGTTTTTCATTTGATCTTCCTCATTGTAAGTTTTTTCCCAGAATTTTTACTTTAGTTTGTAATGTCTACTTAAACAATATCATTAAGAAGATAAAGAAGCTTGCCTTTCTTTTTTATTAAGCAATGGCTGTTAGATTTAATTTGATAATGTTTTATTTCCCTTTAATTTATACTTTGTGTTACCTCCTGTTTCATAATGAATGAAAATCGCTGTCAATTTAAATTAATAACATAAAAGTTTTCTTCTTTTTTAACTTTTATTTTAAGTTCGGGATACACGTGTAAGTTTGTTACATAGGTAAACTTGTGTCACGGGGATTCGTTGTACAGATTATTTTATCACCCAGTGATTAACTGTAGTACCCATTTGTTATTTTCCCTGACCCTCTCCCTCCTCCCATCCTCCACCCTCTAATAGGCCCCAGTGTCTGTTGTTTCCCTCTATGTGTCCATGAGTTCTCGTCACTTAGCTCTCACTTATAAGTGAGAAGATGTGGTATTTGGTTTTCTGTTCCTGCATTAGTTTGCTAAGGATAATGGCCTCCATCTCCATCCATGTTTCTGCTGAGGACATCATCTTGTTCTTTTTTATGACTACATAGTATTATTCCGTGGTGTGTACGTACCACATTTTCTTTGTCCAGTCTACAATTGATGGGCATTTAGGTTGACTCTATGTCTTCACTCTTGTGAATGGCGCTACAGTGAACATACACGTGTATGTGTCCTTATGATAGAACAATTTATATTTATAATTATGTTTCTTTGGGTATATCACAGTAATGGGATTGCAGGTTCATATGGTAGTTCTGATTTTAAGTCTCTAAGGAATCGCCACATTGTTTTCCAAAATGGTTGAACTAATTTACACTCCCACCAACAGTATGTAAGTATTCACTTTTCTCCACAATCTCACCAGCACCTGTTATTTTTTGACTTTTTAATAATGGCCATTCTGACTGGTGTGAGATGGTATCTCATTGTGGCTTTGATTTGCATTTATCTAATGATCAGTGATCAGTGATGTTGAGCTTTTCTTCTTATGGTTGTTGGCTGCGTGTATGTTTTCTTTTGAAAAGTGTTCATGTCATTTGTCTACTTTCTAATGTGGTTGTATGGTTTTTTTTCTTGTAAATTTGTTTAAGTTCCTAATACATGCTGGATATTAGACCTTCATCAGATACATAGCTTGCAAAAAATTTTCTTCCATTCTGTAGGTTGTCTGTTGATCGTATCTTTTGCTGTGTGGAAGCTCTGTAGTTGAATTAGATCCCATTTGTCAATATTTTCTTTTGTAGCAATTGCTTTTGGCATCTTCATCATGAAATATTTACCTATTTCTATGGTCCAGAATAGTATTGCCTATGTTCTCTTCCAGTGTTTTTACAGTTTTGGGTTTTACATTTAGGTCTTTAATCCATCTTGAGTTGATTTTTGTATATGGTTTAAGAACAGTGTCAAGTTTTAATCTTCTGCATATGGCTAGCCAGTTACCCTAGCACCATTTATTGAACAGGGACCCTGTTCTCCATTGCTTGTTTGTGTTAGCTTTGTTAAATATCAGATAGTTGTGCAGTAGGTGTGCAGCCTTATTTCTGGGCTCTCTGTTTTGCTCCATATGTCTACATTTCTGTGTCTGTTTTTGTACAAGTACCATGCTGTTTTGGTTACTATAGCCCTGCAGTTGGCTAGCATGATGCCTCCAGTTTTGTACTTTTTGCTTAGGGTTACCTTGCTCTTTTTTGATTCCATATGAACTTTAAATTTTTTTTCTATTTCTGTGAAGAATCTCATTGACAGTTTGATAGGAATAACATTGGATCCATAAATTGCTTTGGGCAATTTTGTCATTTTAACAATATTGATTCTTCCTATCCATAGGCATATTTTTCCATTTGTTTGTGTCATCTCTGATTTCTTTGAGCAGTGTTTTATAGGTATCCTAGGAGAAATCTTTCATTTTCTTGGTTAGCTGTATTCTTAGGTATTTTATTTATTTATTTTTGTGTGGCAATTGTGAATGGAATTGCATTTTTGATTTGGCTGTCTACCTGACTGTTGTTGGTGTATAGGAATGCTGGTAATTTTTGTACATTGATTTTGTATCCTGAGGCTTTGCTGAGTTGTCTGTCTATCAGCTTTAGGAGCTTTTGAGACGAGATTATGGGGTTTACTAAATATAGGATCATGTCTGCAAACAGGTATAGTTTGAGTTCCTTTCTTGATATTTGGATGCCCTTTATTTATTTATGTTGCCTGATTGCTCTGGCCGGGACTTCCAATGCTATGTTGAATAGGAGTGGTGAGAGGGGGCATCCTGTCTTGTGCCAATTTTCAAGGGGAATGTTTGGAGATGTTGCCCATTCAGTATGTTGGCTATGGGTTTGTCATAGATGGCTCTTAATATTTGAGATATGTTCTTTCAAAACATAGTTAATTGAAAGTTTATAACATGAAGGGGTGTTGAATTTTATTGAAAACCTTCTCTGCACCTACTGAGATAATCATAATATGGTTTTTGTCTTTAGTCTTGTTTATGTAATGAATCACATTTATTGATTTTCATGTAATGAACAAAACTTTCATTCCAGAGATAAAGCATATTTAATAGTGGTGGGTAAATCTTTTGATGTGCTGCTGAATTTGGTTTGCCAGTATTTTGTTGTGGATTTTTGCATCAATGTTCATCAAAGATATTGGCCAGAAGTTTCCTTTTTTTTGTTGTGTCTCTGCCAGGTTTTGGTATCAAGATGATAGTAGCCTCATAGAACCAGTTACTCCTGAATTGTTTCAGTAGAAATGATACCAGCTCTTCTTTGTATATCTGATAGAATTTGGCTGTGTATCTCTCTGGTCCTGGGCTTTGTTGTTGTTGTTAGGCTATTTATTACTGATTCAATTTTGGTGCTTATTATTGGTCAGTTCAGGGATTCACTTTCTTCCTAGTTCAGTCTTGGGAAAGTGTATGTGTCTGCAAGTTTATCCATTTGTTTTCCCAGAGTTTCTAGTTTGTGTGCACAGAGGTGTTCATAATATTATCTGGTGGTTATGTATATTTCTGCAGGGTCAGTGGTAATATTCCCTTTGTTGTTTCTAATTGTGTTTATTTCAGTCTTCTCTCTTTTCTTCCTTATTAGTCTAGCTGTCCGTCTATTTATTTTAGTAATTAGAAAAAAACAATTCCTGGATTTGTCAATCTTTTGAATGATCTTTTTTGTCTTAATTTCTTTCCGTTCAGCTCTGCTTTTGGCTATTTCTTATCTCCTGCTAGCTTTGGGGTTGGTTTCCCCCTTGGTTTTCTACATCTTTTAGTTGTGATGTTAGGTTGTTGTTTTGAAATCTTTCTCACTTTCTGATGTGGGCCTTTAGTGCCATACATTTCTCTCTTAACATTGCCTTCCCTGTGTCCCAGAGATTCTGTTATGTTGTATCTTTGTTCTCATTGTTTTAAAGAACTTATGGATTTCTGCTTTAATTTCATTATTTACCCAGAAGTCTCTCAGGCACAGGTTATTCGATTTCTCTGTAATTGCATAGTTTTGAATGATTTTCTTAGTTTTGGTCACTAATTTTATTGTGCTGTGGTCCAAGAGAGTGGTTGTTATGATTTCAGTTATTTTGCATTTGCTGAGAAGTGTTTTGTGTCTGATTATGTAGTTGATTTCAGAGTGTGTACCATGTGGTGATGAGAAGAACGTATACACTTTTGTTTATCGGTGGAGATTTCTGTAGATGTCTATCAGGGCTATTTGTTTCAATGCTGAATTTAGGGCCTGCATATCCTTGTTAATATTCCTCCTCAATGTTCTGTCTAATACTGTCAGTGCGTAGTTGAAGTCTCCCAATATTATTGTTTGGGAGTCTAAGTCTCTTTGAAGGTCTCTAAGAGCTTGCTTCATTAATCTGAGTGCTTCTGTGTTAGGCGCATATCTATTTAGAATAATTAGGTCTACTTGTTGAATTCAACCCTTTAGCATGATGTAGTGTCACCCTTTATCTTTTTCAGTTTTTGTTGACTTAAAGTCTGTTTTGTCTGAAATTAGGATTGCAATCCCTGCTCTTTTCTGTTTGCTGTTTGCTTGGTAGATTTTTTCCATCCCTTTATTTTGAGCCTAGGGCTGTCATTGCATGTGAGATCGGTCTCTTAAAGACAGCTTATCGGTGGGTCTTGGATCTTTATCCAGCCTGCCACTCTGTACCTTTTCATGGGGGGCATTTAGCCCATTTACATTCAAGGTGAGTATTGGTATGAGTGGATTTGATCCTGTCATCATGCTGTTAAATGGTTATTATGCTGACTTGTTTTGTGTGGTTGCTTTATAGTGAACTTAAATGTGTTTCTTTGATGGCTGGTAATGGTCCTTCCTTTTCATTTAGTGCTTGCTTCAGGAGCTCTTGTAAGGCAGGTCTGGTGGTAATGGATTCCCTCATATTTGCCTGTCTGAAAAGCATCTTATTTCTCCTTCGCTTATGAAGGTTTGGCTGGATATGAATTCTGTGTTACAATTTCTTTTTCTTTAACCCTTTTTCATTTAAAAAAAGAAGGTACAGCTCGCTGCCAGCACTCATTTAATTTTGTATGAAAATGCTCTGTGAGGCTGAAGCAAATTTGATTTTCAATTTGAAAATAAAATATTAAAAAAATTGAATATAAAAACTTTTCTAGGAGCTATTTCTAAACATTACTAACATCAAAATTGTATGAATCGTCAGAATCATCTATTTTGGAAAAATCAGATTCATCAAATGAATCTTTGACCAACAACTGTTCATAAACAATGTTAACATTGCATGTAGGAATGCTATGTTTTCTAGGATTTAAAATTTTCAACCATCAAGAATTATCATATTTTGTAAATGGAAATACCACTATTAAAAACAGAATGCTATAAATAGAATGTTATCTTTTATTTCCAAAGTCAATATACTAGACATAGATTTTGTCTCTTTACATAATCCCATATTTCTTGGACGTTTTGTTCATTTTTTATTGTTTTTCTCTATTCTTGTCTGTCTCGTTACAGAAAGCCAGTCTCCAAACTCTTAGATTCTTCTCTCAGCTTGTTCTAGTCTGTTATTAATACTTGTGATGGCATTAATAAATTCTTTTAGTGTGTTTTTCAGCTCTATCAGGTCAGTTACATTTTTCTTCTATACTGGCTATTTTATCTGTCAGCTTCTGTATTGTTTTATCGTGATTCTTAGCTTCCTTGGACTGGATTTCAGTGTACTTCTGAATCTCAATGATCTTCATTCCTATCCATATTCTGAATTCTATTTCAGTCTTTTGAGCCATCTCAGCCCAGTTCAGAACCCTTTCTGGAGAGGTACTGTGGTTGTTTGGAAGAAAGAAGGCACTCTGGCTTTTGAAGTTGTCAGAGTTCTTGTACTGCTTCTTTCTCATTTGTGTGGGCTAATGTTTCTTAATTTTTGTAGTTGCTGACCTTTGGATGGGTTTCTTTTCTTTTTTCCTGTTTGATGACCTTGGGGGTTTGATTGTGGTGTAAGGTGGTCATCAGTCAGCTGGCTTCACTTCTGGAAGATTTCAGGGAGCCAATATTCAGCTCCCAACTCCTGGACTGCATGCTCTAACTCTGTGGGACTTGAATTGGGCCCCAACTTTGTTCTCTCACTCTTCACGGTTTAGGAATCCACTACTTTAAGAGAGCCAAGGTGCTCCCAGACCACTGGTCACTACACTATGATGGGTGGGGCCAGCCAGAGCATTTCACAGTGTGGTGGTAGAGGAATCCAACCTCATTTGCACATGCCAGCTGAAGTGGCAGTGGTAGTGCTGCATGATAGTGGATGCTGGGGTGCCTGCCTCAAATGCAGGTGTTCACAACGTGGCAGGTGCAGCACAGCTCAGGGAGCTGGGAGGCCCCAGTGCACAATTGCATTGGTGCTGGTGGTAGCATGGGGTCAAGGCATGGGTGTGTGCAGGTCTGTGTGTGCTCTCTGTGCACCACAGGCAGGGGTGGTTGTTCAGAACAGAGGATGGTCTGCTGTTCTCTGTGCCTAGTTTCACTCCCACTGCAGGTTGGGGCTGTCTGGCTCTGTATTAGTGCCTTATCACACTGCTATAAACGACTGCTTGAGACTTGGTAATTTATAAAGAAAGGATGTTTAATTGACTCACTTTTCCACATGTCTGGGGAGGCCTCAAGAAACTTACAATAATGGAGGAAGGTGAAGGGGAAGCAAGGCATATCTCACATGGCAGCAGGAGAGACAGAGTGCAGAGGAAACTGCCACTTCTAAACTAGCAGATCTCCTGAGAACTCCCTCACTATCAGGAGAACAGAATGGGGGAAACCATCCCCATGATCCAGTCACCTCCCACCAGATCCCACCTCCACACATGATATTACAATTCAAGATAATATTTGGGTGGGAACACAGAGCCAAACAATATCAGGCTCTGTGCCTACCAAGGCTCTGACTGCTACATTGGTACAGTAGGAGGTGGGATGCACTCATTCTACAGTAGTGACATGGCCGGATACACACACAAATGCATGCTGATGGAAAAGGGAAGGCAAAACCCACCCATGTGTACATACATCAGCAAAGCAATGGTGGTGGAGGGCAGAAGTTGTGGGCCCAGGAAAAACTGCAGTGTAGGAAGGTAGCAGGTACGCTGGTGCATGGCTAATGGGGTTGTCTTGTTAGTGTTCTCCACCTGCCAGTCAGACAAGGTCCACCAGCACAGGAGCTATGATGCAGGACTTGAGTGCACCCTAGGCTGCCCTGCAAGCAGGCACAGCCAGACTGGAGCCCTGTGAGAGGCCAGCAAACTAAGGGGAGCTCAGGTCAGACTAGCCCCATCTGTTGGCAAGACTGCCCTGCAAAGCTCTGATTCAATAGTTCCCATAGGACTTAAGTCTCCTATGGGAGCATGTGAACCAAGAGGGATGGGCATCTCTGGTCAGCCTCCAATAGAAACGCCCCTGAACTAACCCCTCTGGGCTCCACATCAGCTGGCGTGCTGCTCCTACCACTTCTCTAAGCAGCATTTCTTGCCAGCTCAGTGTCTCAATGTCCATAGTGGTCAAAGGATCTCCTCCTGCTGGGATTCCAGAGGCCTGTGGTGAGAGTATGTTGCTTCTTGCCAGTTCAACTCACCTGTGCCCCCAGAGTCACTGGGGGCCAGGCATGAGTCCTGGTGTGTGGTAGCCATATGCAGGGATCCCAGCTTCCTGCTTCTTCAGCCCAGTTCCCATATCTTCCCTCTATCCACTCTGAATACCTTCCCTCTGAAGATTTGTTAGGAGTGCACCATTAGTCCCAGCCCCTTAGTGGCAGCTTTTCGCCTAGATGCACCTAGCCAGGCCATCTTCTCAACACCTCTCAGAAACTTGTCTTTCTTAAAGTCAAATGGGGAGGGATTATTTTAAAATAAAAATTAAACTGGTATTTAGCATATTTCCACTTCCTTTTCAGCGTTATTTATTGATACATATACTTGTCAGAGGTCAAAAGGGAACAATAGGGTACCATATAGTATTGAAATTAAAACTGACAGAAAAAATGGAATGAAAATACAACCTCAACAGAAAGAAAAAAAGAAAGAAAGAGAAAGGGAGGGAGAGAGGAAAGATGTGGTGGTAATCCGGGCAGATACTCTTCTTTGGTTACGTGAGTATTTGTTTCTCTGAAAATAAGTAATGGGATGGATTATTTTCTGGATTAAAATTATACTGCAGCGAATTTAGGATTTTCTTCAATATGTATTTTTTTCCATTGTTTTGATCTGGTGTGTCTCATGGTATGTTAAATGTGGAATTGTTGGATTATAATAGGGTAACATTGCTTAACTTTTAAAAATACTTTAATATTTCCAAAATATCTGTTTTTAGTTTATTTTACTATACCATAATAAAAATTTTCTGTAATATGAATTTTCAATAGGCTTTACAGAAGCAAAATGATGGTTTTGAGAAATCTAATGATAGAAGTAGAAAGCTTTCTTTTTCCTTCATTAGTACAGAATTTGTTATATCTCATGACCTTCCTAGCAGTTGTCCAGCTAATGTTCTCAGAGAACTTCATAGAATTTTAAAAAATTTGTACCAATGAATGTTCAAAGCAAGATATTCAAATTATTAAAATATTAGTTTAAAGGTTTGGAGTCAAAAGCAATTGACTGTAATCTTTGCTAGTTTATGAATTCTATCCAAAATTATCAGAGAATTTTGGGTAAAAAGTACACAGAATAGTGTTGGGTTACAATCACCTCAGTCTTGATAAAGCTTGTATAAATTTAGTGATAAGTAATAGAATCCATATATGGACAGTGGTTTCCATGTGTTATATAAAATACAGCCTGTGCATGTGCTTGCACTGATGTGTGCATGTCTGGAGACATGTAGTAAATCACAATTATTCCTGTCAATGAATTAAACTGTACCTAAACATGTATTTATTTCATACATTCTTATCATATTAAGATATTGATTATCAATTATATACTAAAATTAAATACCTATAAGAATCAAACCAAGATACAAAAAAGTTAAACCAGAAAAATATTATTTTTAATAGTGATTTAAATACCATTTATTAAAAGTTGAAATTGTTAGCACAACGGTTTTAAATTTCAATCATTGTAATTAATGTCTGATATAAATTATTTTATAAAATTAATATATTGATTACAACAGTTAAGTGTAATTATTCTATCTATTCAAGATTTTTTATTACTACTTTTTAACATCAAGGTAAACTCAATGGAGGATAATTATCATAACAATAATTCAGCATAC
This sequence comes from Homo sapiens, assembly GCF_000001405.40. Classification (NCBI taxonomy): domain Eukaryota; kingdom Metazoa; phylum Chordata; class Mammalia; order Primates; family Hominidae; genus Homo; species Homo sapiens. The sequence continues at coordinate 130,405,378 of NC_000004.12, forward strand.
ATTTTCCAGTCTGTTTGGTAATACAGTATGTTCTCCACAGAGTCCCCACCTGTACGTTAATCAGTCACTCATGAACCTACCTCCCTGTCCAGTGAGCCCTTCTAGAAGTAATTTAAAGAATAATATTTTGGGTTTTTTTTTGCAAAAGGAATTGGCAGAGGAGAGGTCCTTATGCTGATTTCTCTTTGGGTTTTAATAAAGACATTGCATAAATTAAGAAAAAATAAAGAAGCAAGAGGAAAAGTTTAACAGATAATCCTGGATACCAAACATTTACACACAAAATAAAAATCAAACATTTATATTAGTAAAGACTCAGAAATCATGTATCTTCCTGAGCAGTAAGCCTCAAGGCTAAGCTAGATACCTTTATTACACACCTTTTCCCACAAACTTCAATGCACCACTAAGACCATCACATCCAATTAACACTGCACTGAGCACCCTGTTATCACATTCAGTGATCCATTAAATGAGAAATAGGAAAGCACCACATTATTATGCTGGCCTTTTTGCTACAGGTGATATCTACTCAAAGTTACATCGGAGTTGGTAGACAGTCTAGCACATTACTTCAAAATCACTCTTCTATGTCTTATACTTCTGTCCCAATTGTATATCTTTTCTTTTCTTTTTCTTTCCTTTTTTTTTTGTTTTTGTTTTTTTTGTTTGTTTGTTTTTTGAGGCAGAGTCTTGCTCTGTTGCCAGGCTGGAGTGCAGTGATGCGACTCAGCTCACTGCAACCTCCACCTCCCAGGTTCAAGCAATTCTCCTGCCTCAGCCTCCCGAGTAACTGGGACTACGGGTACGTGCCACCACACCCAGCTAATTTTTGTATTTTTAGTAGAGGCGGGGTTTCACCATGTTGCCCAGAATGGTCTCAATCTCTTGACCTCGTGATCTGCCCACCTCAGCTTACCAAAGTGCTGGGATTGCAGGCATGAGTCACTACTCCCAGCCTCAATTGTATTTCTAATAAAGAAAATCAGATTGTACCAGCTTTGTTTTAGAGGCAGTGTAAGTTAATACGTACTCATATTAAACAAATGGAATCCTAGATAGGATTGTTTTTTACCTTAGGAGGATATAACTATCCAAAAATTTGGTGAATAAAATGAGTATTAGTCCCATGAAAATGTTAGTGTTTAAATATTTGTTTGCTTCTTCTCGATTTTCCTTTTTTAAATTTACTATTAATGTTATTTTTGATTGACAAGTCATAATTGTATGCTTTCACAGGACACAATGTAATGGTAGGTTATTTGTATACAATGTGGTGTGATTAAATCAAGCTAATTAACATATCCATCAGCTTACTCACCTATAATTTTTTATGGTGAGACATTTGAAATCAGAATCTTATAGTTATTTTAAAATATACAATACATTATTATTGACTATATTCACCCTGCTGTGCACTAGATCTGAAAACCTATTTCTTCCATCTATGGGAAACCTCATACCTTCTGATCAACAACTCTCTATTCATTTCCTCCCTATATCCCCAGTCTCTGGTAACAATTGGTAACAATCATTCTACTCTTTACTTCTGTCAGTTCAACTTTATTAGATACCACTTATTAGTGAGATTTTGTAACATTTGTCTTTCTGTGTCTGGTTTATTTCATTTAGCATAATGTCCTAAAGATGTTATTCATGTTGTCACAAATGACAGGATTTCCCTCTTTTTTAAAGGCTGAATAGTATTCCATTGTGTATGTATACCACATCTCCTTTATCCATTCTCCTTTATCCATCTCTTGACAGACATTTAGGTTGTTTCCAACTCTTGGCTATGGTGAGTAGTGCAGCAATAAACAAAGGAATGCAGATATGATTTCCATACATTGATTGCAGTTTCTTTGGAAACATACACAGGAGTGGGATTACTAAATGGTATGGTAGTTCTATTTTTAATTTTTGAGGAAACGCCATATTGTTTTTCCTAATGGCTGTACTAAGTTACATGGCTACCAACAATATATAAAGGAGTTTCCTTTTCTCCTCATCCTCTCCAACACATGTTATTTTTGATCTTTTAGATAAAAACCATTCTTATAGGTGTAAAGTGATATATATCCCTTTGTAATTTTAATTTTATTTTCCTGTCGATTACTGATGCTAAGCATTTTTCATGTATCTTTTGGGTATATGTATGTCTCCTTTTGACAAATAACTGTTCAGGTCCCTGGCCAATTTTAAAATCAAGTTATTTGCTGTATTTTTTTTTGCTATAGAATTACATTTTTTGTATATTTTGGATAATAACCTATTTTCAAATAAATGGTTTGCAAATATTTTCTCTCATTTTGTGGGTTATCTCTTCACTTTGTTTTCTTTGTGTGCCAAAGCATTTTAGCTTAATGTGATCCTATCTGTTTTTGCTTTTGTTGCTGTCCTTTTGGGGTCATATCCAAAATATCATTATTCAAACCAATATTGTAGAGCATTTCCCCTGTTTTCTTCTAGTATTTTACAGCATCAGGTCTTCAGTTTAAGTATCCAATCTTTTTTAAGTTGATTTTGTATAAGATATAAAGTTCCATTTTCATTCTTCTTTATGTGGATACCCAGTTTTTCCAGCACTGTTTATTGAAAATATTATCCTTTTCCCAGTGTGTGTTCTCAGCGTCTTTGTCAATAATCAATTGACTACAAATTTGTGGGTTTATTTCTGCCTTTTCTATCTTGTTCCATTGCTCAGTCTGTCTTTTTTTTTTTTTTTTTTTTAATACCAGCATCATGCTGTTTGGAATACAATTGCTTTGGAATAAATTCTGAAATCAGGGAGGTGCATCCAGCTATGTTCTTTTTGCTCAACTTTGTCCATTCAGGGTCTTTTGTGATTCTATAAGAATGTAAAGATTTTTTTTTTAATTTCTGTAAGAAATGAATTTGAAATTTTGGTAGAAATTATATTGAAACTATAGATTGCTTTGGGTGGTATGGGCATTTTAACAATATTAACTCTTTCAATCCATTAACATGGGATATCTTTCCATTTATTTTACTTTCTCCAATTATTTTAATCAGTATTTTATAGTTTTCAATATGCATGCATTTTATATCCTTGGTTAAATTTACAGCTAAGTATTTAACTTTTTTGATGCTATTGTAAATGAGATTGTTTTCTTAATTTTCTTTTTAGCTAGTTAACTATGGTCACATAGAAATTTTTGTACGTTGTTTTTGTATACAGCAACTTTACTGAATTTGTTGATCAGTTCTGTTTTTATTCATGGAGACTTTTGGGGTTTTTATGTATAAAATCATGTTTTCTACATATAGGAACTATTTTATTTCTTATTTTCTCATTGAGATGCATTTTATTTTCTTCTCTTGCCTAACTGCTCTGGCTAGGACTTTCAGGACCATGTTGAAAAGAAGGAGTGAGAGTGGGTATTCTTACCTTGTCCCTGATCTTAGAGGAAAAGCTTTCTTTTATAACATAGGAGTTTATCGCTATAAATTTCCTTCTTAGGGTTGCTTTTGCTGCATCCTATATGTTTTGGTAAGTTGTGTTTCCATTTACATTTGTTTCAAGGGTTTTTTTTTTCCTTTTTTTTCTGTGATTCTCTCAAATGATGGCAAATACTTCTTACTTTCATCATAATAGAAATAATAACTCTAATTAACTATTTTGTGTTTATTTATTAGTCAGTTTCTTTGTGATTTATTAGGTTTTATTCCTCTTTGTCTTGATTTCAAAACTCAGTTCACGTATTTTACCCTTTTTATATTACTACAGTTGTTGAAACGTGATTTTTTTTCTGAACTTGAGTCACAACTGAACATTTACATATTATTTTTATTAGGCTTACTTGTTATTCTCTAGAACCTCAGAAATGGAAAATAGTGACAACTAGAAGAGCTACCTAGGAATCAGGGAGGAGACTACATGTTGAGAAAAACAGCTTTTCCGCTTTCTTTCATTGCTTAATTCTAGAATGCTACGTAAGAGAAAAATAGATATCTTTGGTTTAAGCTTCTGTACTTAGAAGTCCCTTCATTACCCAAGGTCACGCAAGTCTTGCTATATTAGTTTATTTATTCAAATGCCTGTCTCTAGTCTCAGTATATCAAAGCACTGAGATATAAAGCTGATTTAATATTCATTCTTTATCTTTTAACATAACATATTATATAAAAAGTTATCATAGATAATTTATTTTGGCTGAACATATATTCATATTATTTTGTAGAGATGAAATAAATCTATGAGTGCGTGCGTAGTTAATTAGTCTTTAGGTATCGACATAGATATTTATATATACAGAGGTATAGAAATATAGATTTCATATTAAAAGACAAAGTAGATATTTTGAGGGCTGGTTGAATTATTTTTGAAAATAGAAAAACAAACTGTTATCAGCAGTAATATTAAAAATAATTATTTCAGTAAACTATAGTATTATAAAATTAAAACAAATGCAGTTTAACAAATGTAAATGAAAGCTGATACACTCAACACAACGAATAAATGTACAATTAAAGTTAAATAGAAATTTACATTGTAAGGATAAATAAATTAATATACCACATAGAAATAATAGATATTTTTGTAAATCACGAATTAGTAATTCTAGTAACAATTCAGATGACTTTTAAAATTAGAATACATGGCTGCGTGTGGCGGCTCACGCCTATAATCCCAGAACTTTGGGAGGCCACGGGGTGGGGATGGATACTTGAAGTCAGGATTTCAAGACCTGGCCAACATGGTGAAACCCTGTCTCTACTAAAAATACAAAAATTAGCTGGGCATGGTGACAGGTGCCTGTAATTCCAGCTACTTGGGAGTCTGAAGCATGAGAATTGCTTGAACCCAGGGGGCAGAGGCTGCAGTGAGCTGAGTAGCACTCCAGCCAGTGAGACTCCATTCTATCATTATATATATATATATATATATACACACACACATATATATATACATATATGTATGTGTATATATATATATATACACATACATATATGTGTATATACACATATATGTATGTATATGTATATATACCTTTGTCAAAATTTTTGAGTGGCTCTGTGTATTTGGGGGTATATTGTCCTCTGCATCACCATAGTAAGACATCTCTGTAATTTGCTTAGTAAAATAAACAAAAATAGGATTAAATTATAGTAGTTTACATTCTGAAGGTGTGCACTAACTTTGTTTTCCTGCTAGTCAACAGAAGTATATGCTAATCATAATGCACGAATCATTTTACCTCCAAAAAATGAAGCTGTGAAAATATTTGAAATTACATCAAAAAAGTTTCATTTGCACTGGATGTTTATCGAGGAATGTGATAGTAGTATGTCTTCTAGGCAATCAATCATGGTTGTCTACTATGGTATTAATCACTTCATGGGCCAGGTTGTTTGTCTCCTCATCATCTTTGAGGCTTAGATATTTTTAAATGTTCTGCCAAAATTCTCTTCATGTAAATGAGCCATATGTTAGGTGTCTACAATGTTGCCAAGGTGTTGTTAAGACTTGTTCAAATAGAAAGTTTTGCTCATTATGCTTATATTTACTACTGAGGAAAAACTCAGTGTAAATAAATTCTTTACAGGTCAGTCCAAAGGTTAAAAGTTTGAAAAGTGAAAACGCCATTCATATTTTGTCACTGCAGCTTATTTCTTATATTTGATTTGTCAGAGCACAGACATACCGAAGAATAATTTTATGGAGATTTCTTTTTCTAGTTCTCAGATTAATGCATACTGTCTTAATTGAATTTTATTTCTAGGAAAATCTAATACCTACTCAGTATTCGCCATTAGTCAACTTATTATTTTTATTATTAACAAGTGATTGTTTTCATTCACAACCTGTTTTTAAATGTTTTATTATTCATTTTACTTTAAATACTGTTATTTTCTTAGAAAATGATTTGTTATCATTATTCAGCTTTGGTAATATTAAACAATATGGATATTAACATATCTCAAAAAGCAAACTGACTGAAAATCAGCAATTACTCATGTATTCATCATATTTAGAATTGTGGAAATGTAAATGCAAGACTGATAACATAAAAAGTCTGGTTCAGTTCATGGTAAATGAAATTAGTACAATTTAGACCTGAATTATAAAAAATTGTGAAACAAAATGAACTCATTAAATATGACTTCTAAAAAAGTATTACATGGGAGCCTATTTTCAGTACCTTTAAGGAAACAAAATTCTTACGTAGAATTTTATACCTGGCCAAACTAAGTTCCATAAGTGAAGGAGAAATAAAATAATTTCCAGATAAGCAATCATTAAAGGAATTTGTTAGCAATTGTACAGCATCTTTACAAAATATCCTTAAGTGAGTTCCAAATATAGAAACAAAAGAACAATACCTGTTACTACAAAGACAATCTTAAGTACATAGTCCATTGACCCTATAAAGCAACCACACAATAGAAACTACAAAGCAACCAGGTAACAACTTGATAACAGGATCAAAACACCACATATCAATATTAATCTGAAATGTCAGTGGTCTAAATGCTTCACTTAAAAGGCACTGATGGGCAAGTTGGATTTAAAAAAAAAAAAGACCATTTTTTTTTGCTGTTACCAAACCACCCATCTGACGTGTAATGACACCCATAGGCTCAAAGTAAAGGGTTGGAGAAAGATCTATGACACACAAAGAAAACAAAACAAAAACAAAAACCAAGGAAACTCTTCTTATAATAGATAAAATAGACTTTAAATCAAAACAGTAAAAAAGGACAAAGAAGAGCACTACATAAAGTATTCCATTCCACAAGAAGATTTAACTATCCTAAATAAATATGCACCCAACAATAGAGTATCCAGATTAATAACACAAGTACTTCTGGACCCACGAAATGACTTAGACAGCCACACAATAATAGTGAGAAATTTCAATACCCCACTGACAGAGTGAGATAGATAAATGAAGAAGAAAATTAACAAAGAAATAATGGACTTAAATTTGACACCTGACCAATTGGACCTAATAACCATATACAGAGTACTCCATCCGTCACTATAGATTATATGTCCTTCTCATCTACCCATAGAACACATACTCTAACATCAACCACATGCTTAGCCATAAAGCAACTCTCGATAAATTTAAAAAAAATCGAAATCATACCAAGCATACTCTCAGACCACAGTGGAATAAAAAGAAATCAACACCAAGAAGATTTCTCATCTTCTCACAATTAAATGGAAATTAAACAACTTGCTCTTGAATGGCTTTTGAGTAAGCAAGGAAATTAAGAAATAAATAAAAAAATTACTTTAAATAAATGAAAATAAGCACAACATATAAAAATCTCTGAGATAAGACAAAAGCAGCATTAAGAGGAAACATTATAGTGCTAAATATCTACATCAAGAAGTTAAAAAGATTCTCAAATTAATGATTTAAAATTATACCAAGAAGAATTAGAAAAATAGGAACAAAATAACCCCAAAGGAGATGAGGAAAATAAATAAATTAGATCAGAACAGAACTGAATAAATTTAAAGCCCAAAAATCCATGCAAAGGATCTACAAAACAAAAAGCTGGTTCTGTGAAATAATAAATAAGATCAATAGACCACTAACAAAATTAAGCAAGAAAAAAAGAGAGAAGATTCAAATAAGCACATTCATAAATGGCAAAGGTGGCATTACAACCAATCCCACAGAAATACAAAGATTTTCAGAGACTATTATGAACTCCTCTATATACACAAACTAGAAAATCTAGAGGACATGGATAAATTCCTGGAAACATAGAACCTTCCAAGATTGAATGAAGAAGAAATTAAAACCTTGAACAGAACAATGTCAAGTTCTGAAATTGAATCATTAATTAAAAAAATATATACAAAACAATAAAAGTTTGGGACCAAATGAATTCACAGCCAAATTCTACCATATGTACAAAGAAGAGCTGGTACCAATTCAACTGGAACTATCCCAAAATTCGAGGAGTGAGGACTTGTTTCTAACTCATTCTATGAAGCCAGCATCACCTTGATACCAAAATCTGGCAAAGACAAAAAAAAAAAAAAAGAAAAAAAAACTACAGGGTAATATCCTTGATGAACACGGGCACAAAAATCCTCAGCAAAATACCAGTAAACCAAATCTAACATCATATCAAAATGTTAATTCATCACAATGAAGCAGGCTTTATTCCTGGGATTTGAAGTTGGTTTAACATACACAAAACAACAAATATTGAACTGACACTAATTATCGTAGGAAAAAAGAACCAATAAATACGATTTACCACATAAACAGAATTAAAAACAGAAACAATATGATTACCTTAATAGATACAGGAAAAGCTTTTGATAAAATCCAACATCACTTCATGATAAAAACTCTCAATAAACTATGCATCAAAAGAACATTCTTCAAAATAAGTTTCATTTATGACCAAACCACAGCCAGTAACACACTAAACGGGCAGAAGCTAGAAGCTTCCCCTTAATAACAGGAACAGACAAGGATGCTCACTCTCACCACTGCTATTCAACATTATACTAGAAGTCCTAGCCAGATGAATCAGGCAAGAGAAAAAAATAAAAGGTATCCACATAGAAAAAGAGGAAGTCAAATTATCTTTCTTCACCAAGGATATGATTCTATACCTAGAAATCCCTAGAGACTCTTCCAAAAGTCTTTTACAACTAATAAACAATTTAGCAAAGTTTCAGGATAAAAAAATCAATGTATAAAAATTGTAGCATTTCTATAAACTAGAAGTATTTAGTCTGAGAGCCAAATCAAGAATGCAATCCCATTTATAATAGCCACAAAGAAATAAAATACCTAGGAATATATCTAACCAGTGTGGTGAAAGATCTCTACAAGGAGAACTACAAAGTAGTGCAGAAAGAAATCATAGATGACATAAACAAATGAAAAAAATTTCTTTCTCATGGATCAGAAGAATCGGTATCATTAAAATGGCCATGCTGCCCAAACTCATCTACAGATCCAATACTATTCCTACTAAGCTACCAATATCATTTTTCACCCAGTTAGAAAGAACTATTCTGAAGTTCATATGGAACCAAAATAGAGCGCAAATTGCCAAGGCAATCCTAAGCAAAAATAATGAAGCCAGAGATGTCACACTACCCTATTCCAAACCACGCTATAAGGCTCCAATAATAAAAACAGCATGGTACTGGTACAAAAACAAAAACATAGACCAATGGAACAGAATAGAGAGCTCAGAAATAAAGCTACACACTTGCAATCATAGGATCTTAGACAAAGTTGACAAAAATAAACAATGGGGAAAGAACTCCGTATTCAATAAATGTTGCTAGTCATATTCAATAAATGTTGCTAGTCATATCCAATATGGCTAGTCATATGCAGAGGAATGAAACTGGACCCCTTCCTTACACCATATAAAATTAACTCAAGATGGATTAAATATTTAAATCTAAGAATTTTTAAACTATAAAAATTCTAAAAGAAAATCTAGAAAATACCATTCTAGACATTGGCCCTGGCAAATAATTTATGACTAAGTCCTCAAAAGCAATGATAACAAAAATAAAAATTGGCAAGTGAGACTGAATTAAACTAAAGAATTCCTGCCTAGCAAAAGTAACAGTCAACACGGTGAACAGAAAACCTACAGAATGGAAGAAAATATTTACAAACTAAGAGGCCTAATACCCAGAATCTATAAGAAACTTAAGCAATTCAACAAGCAAAAGACAAATGACCCTATTAAAAAGTAGGCAAAGGATATTAATAGGCACTTCTCAAAAGGGGACATACAAGCAGCCACCAAACATATATTATAAAAAGGTTAGCATCACTAATCATCAGAGGAAAGCAACTCAAAACCATTTCACACCAGCAAGAATGGCTACTATTAAAAAGTTAAAAAATAATAGATGCTGGTGCGGCTGTGGAGAAAAAGGGCATGTTTGTACACTGTTGGGAATGTAAATTAATTCAGTCACTGTGAAAAGCAGTTTGGAGATTTCTCAAAGAACTTAATACAGAGCTACAATTTGACTCACCAATCCCATTACTAGATATATACCCAAAGCAAAATAAATAGTTCTATAATAAAGACACATGCCCTTTTATGTTCATTCCAGCACTATTCCCAGGAACAAAGTCATGAAATCAACCTAGGTGCCCATCAATGGTGGATTGGATAAAGCAAAGTGGTAAATATACACCACGGAACGCTATGCAGCCATAAAAAAGAACAAAATCATGTCCTTTGCAGCAGCATGGATGTAGTTAGTGGTCATTATCCTAAGTAAATTAATACAAGAACAGAAAACCACTTTTTTCACTTATAATTGGGATCTACACATTGGGTACACATAGACATAAAGATGGGAACAATAGACACCAGGGACTACTAGAGTGGGCAGAGACACAGAGGGTAAGGGCTGAAAAACTGCCTATTGGTTAATATGCTCACTACCTGGGTGATGGCGATCATTGGTACCCCAAACCTCAGCATCATGAAATTTGCTCATGTAACTAACCGCAGGTGCACCCTTTGAATCTAAAATAAAAATTGAAATTATATTTTTAAAAATCACAAAGTGAAAATCTTTTTAATGTAAGAAAGTATCTTATATAAAAGCACAGGTTTATTTCAAATTTTAAAATCATGATCTTTTAACAGAGAATAAAGAGACAGGTAGGTAGATGATAGATAGACAGGCAAATCTATCTATAGATATAGGAAAATAATATTACTCTATTTGTCTGTGTTCATGAAGTATATTGTTCTATAAGTGTTTTCCCTTGTAATGTCCTTGTATGGTTTAAGAATCAAGGTAATGATGATTTTACAGAATAAGTTGAGAAGTATCTGTCTCCATTCTTAGTTCTGAAAGAGTTTATTTTATGTAGGCTTGAAATAATTTTCACCCTTGAATTTTTTATGAAACTAATCAATAAGCACATGTGGGACTGAATTTCTTTTTTTTTGGAAATTTTGTAATTACAAATATTTTTCTAATGAATATGATGAAATTCAATTTCTATTCATTCTTTTGTAACTTTTTATAATTTGTGTCTACTAAGCAATTTAAATTTTTCATATGTATTTATGGGCGTAGCATTGTTCAACATATCTCCACATTAACTTTTCAACATCTGTGGAATCAGCAGTTATAGATCCTTTTTCATTTCTAATTTTGGAAATTGCTGATTTTTCTCTTTTATCTTTATTATTCTATCTAGATGTTTATTAATTTTAGATCTTATTTAAAAACTTTATTTTACTGATCTTCTCTAATATTAGTCTGTTTTCTCTAGAAAAAATATTTTTTATTATTTCCATCATCTTATCTGGGAGATGAAATCATATCAAATTTGGTAAGTTTTGACTGTGATTTATCCAAACATTTCATGCTCCTCTCTCTTGGACTTGCTTTAAGACTTGCTGTTTGAAGAATGGATTAACAGATTCTTTTAAAAGCTAATAGTTTTCTATCACTCATAATATAGATAGAATGAGTTGGGCTGCTCTAAGAGTAATTTCAAAGGTAAATAAATAGTTCCTGATAATAAAGGAATGTTAGTGGAATTAGAGCATTGTGATGAGTTATAGAATATGATAATGGAAATGACTTTTTGCTTATGCAATTGTGTAGCTTTTGGTGTTATTATGTGATTTATATTATTTTTTAAGATAAACTGTGAATTTTGTAACTGTATTTTCTTAGTAAACTTCTCAGAAAGTAAAAAGTGTACATTTTAGAACCTAAAAACTATTTAAAGATGGTGGTGAAATGGATGAAAGGATTTCTGAACAGTCTGGGCCGGGTTGGTTGATGAACTTTCATCAAAATTTTTATCTTATTTTCCATTTCACTTACATTAGTTTCTCTTAAAGTTTGCTATATGTCAGTCTGGAGTCACTCTAATAGCTATGTAACATTTTCTAAGAATGAATAATATTTTGAGCATATGATGTTTGCATTGCCAATCTATAAAACATAATTTATGGAGATACAATTGTAAAATATATTTTATTACTTACATACAGTGAAGAAGAAACAGGTAATTCTAACCTAAAAAAATACACATAAAAATTATCTACTCTGCTTGTTTTTGTTGGTTTTATTCTGGGTCTTTGTTATATTCTATTTTATCTCCACCTCTTTCTGTTTCCCTTATATGCTCAAATATACTTTTTAGTTGAATAGATTTGTCAAGAATTTGTTTGTTCCCAGTGAGTTTATTGCTCAGAGAAAAGCTGAGATTTTGAAAGAAAAAAAAAAGTAAAGTTTTTCAACCTAGTTTAATAGGTTTATTGTATTTTACATTTGGAAGAAATGATTCATAAGGTTTCTGCCATTCTCAGAACTAGAATACCTGTTTATCAGAATCATCTAAACAGCTACAGGGCATCAATTTGGTACTTGAATTTTTGTCTGTACAAATAGCAGAATTTTTGTATAGTAAAATTTTAAGTTATCAAAATAATAGGTACAACCTGCTACTATTTCTACTGCTATTGTCAGATAATAATAAAACATTTAACATGCATTGAGAGCTTATTACATACTAAGCAAGTTTGTAACCATTTTTCATGTATTAACTCTTGTAAACCACATAAACAATATGAAGAACATAACATACACATATCTATTTTATAAAGGATGAAAGTCAGGTGCGTCAGATGTATCTTGCCAAAGGTTCTACAGTAAGTGGCAGTGTTCAGGTTTCAACTCGATTGCTTGAACTCTAAAGTTCACTCAGTACGAAATATTATGGTCAGTTTTATTCTTCAATGAATAAGTACCATCATTAAAGGCTTAGTGGCTGCCTGAATTAATTGTGGCAGCGTTTCTATGGATAGCATTTGCTCTTTCAGATTACCTCTATATATCATCTATAAATTTTCAAGCCTATAAAATGGAAATATTCATTAATATCAGTGATAGTACTCAAAATTTCAGTCCATATTTCTGATTAATCTAAATGAAGTGAATTATTAACATTCACAAGGAGTATTTGAACCAGCGATGTCTGATTTCTGATCTAGCTTCAACTGACTTCATGTGTAAAGTTTTATAAAACTTTGTGCATGACTTCTTACATAACTTCTTGTACAATTTGTGTAAATTGTGTAACTGACTTGTATAACTGCAAATTAATCGGTTTATTTGTGGTTTAGTTTGTGGAGGATATAGATTTTCTAAGGAAGCATTTTCTCATGTTTTGTGGTTACATAACTGATATCTTATAGTTTATTAGTAAATAATTAACACTAAACACAATCTAATTGCTTTATCCCTTAAGTGGTTGCAATAAGCAAGACATTATTTTATATCACTTCAGTGTATTAAATTTTGATACCTAGGATAAAGAGCTGTAACTCACTCGCCTTATATTGGGAGGGGCATAAAATAAAGTACTCACCTTGTTTTAAAAAGTTATTTTGGCACACTTTTAAATATATTTAGGAGAAAAATATTTTTGAGAAGTACAATATTTTATATTAAAACATTGATTGTTTCCAACATGAATATTGTTAAATAGTGATTTATTCCAGGAAACCATGAAAAGGTGTCAACAAAATAGTAAAAAAATTGTATCCTGCAAGCTCAATTTTTAGTGAGGCTAAGAGATAGACATTATTTACAAACACGAAAATAAATGTGTCTTTTATGTCCCTGCTGACAGACAATGCCATTTCTGAAATATTCTATGCTTTCTTTGTATCACAGAGGTTGGAAGTCTGTAAACTATTTTTCCTAGAATCCCCTATTATTTTTGTTTCAGTGGAAACTCTTCTAGTGAGAGGCCTGCATGTGAGATATGGAAGGCAGAGCAGAATTTTTCCAGACAGAAAAAGGAAGATATGAATGCCGACCTCAGCATGGGACCTTTTCATCTCTTCTGCAAACTCCCCTAGAAATTTCTTAAGTCACTCCTAAAGGCAGCTGTGACCATTGGCCAAAACTTTCCTGCAGTACTGAAACTAATGGCAAAAACTAAAAAAGAGTTTCAATGTTCTCTGACCATCTCTCTTTTAACACTTTTGAGTGTTGCATAAACATCTAATTTCCTGTGTTTAATATTTTCTAGATTGAAATGTAGAGTGGTTTCTTAATACTAGATAAAATCCTGGCTAATACTGTTATTTTAGAAGTAGTTCCAGGAAAAACATCTGCACAAACATAAACCTAGTATTTGCTATCAACTTAGTTAATTTTGAAGACAACGATGATTACATCATCAGACAAAAATTGGTTATAAGTTTCTATCATTTAGTTAAAATCGGGTATGTGAATTATAATGTCTATTTCACTGGAATAAAGTGTCTATATAAAGAAAGTAAATGAGTGATCATGTGGCTGCTGAAATGGAGTATTACAATAGGAGTCATGATTCTTAGGGTTTGGGGAGGACTGTCTGTTTTGTATTACACACAAAAGTCTTACACAGACAATGGAATGTTCAGGGCTTTACATCCGGACCTCAAAGCAAGCCTGGAAAAATAAAGATTTGTTGATTGCTGTAAATTTTTTTAAAATCATTTCTAGCCCAGGGATTGAAATATCTTACTAAGACACAAATTAGATTTTTCAGATTGCAGAATGACAACTCAATTTAGATTTATAGCCTTGCCAAGGCTTCTATATGGATGTTATTGTATCAATAGGGAGAGAATGGCACCTGGAAAATTTTTTGAAAGGTACACTTTAATAGAATCAGAAAAAATCAAGGTTCTTAAATTGCCAGGTTCTACAAAGTGTATCTTCTCAGCATCAATAACCATTTTCCTCTATATGAGGAAGCTAGAATCCCTTTAAGAGCCTCTTTAAGAACCTTAATTTGGACATCAACCTTTTTTATATGCTGATTCTAAGCAAGATCTAACCATATCACCATTTGTGTATCTAGACTAAGGAAGGCTAGGGTAGATCTTGTCATATTCCAGGATAATGAGTCCCACATCTGAATAAGCAGGAGATGGTTTATATACACAGAAACCTGAAGGAAATGAATGAAAATGGCTTCAAGATAAGGTAGGAAAAAAATGGCAAGCCAAATGTACTTACCAAACATGCTAGGTTTAATACTTTAATTCACAAATCTGAGATTAACTCTAACAGTTTGCATAGCTGGTAACTTATCCTTGACTCAACAGTGGCCTACATTAAATAAAGCCTGAATGCCAGAACTTTCTTGGTAAAATATAGAAATAGAAATTTGAAAAGTTAGAAAGATAGAAATTTTGGAACAGATTTTTCTCTATTTAAGTTTTGTATTAATACATAATATTTATACATATTTACGGTACAAATGTGATACTTTGATATACACATAAAATGTGTAATGATCAAATCAGGCTATTTAGGATATTCATCATCTTGCACAGTTGTCATTTCTTTGCATGAGGAACATTTCAAATCTTTTCAGCTATTTTGAAATATATAATAACACTGTTGTTAACTATATTCACCCTACTGTGAGACTGAACCATGGAACTTATTTTCTCTATTTAATCGTATGTTTGTAGCCATTAACCAACCTCTTTTCTCATCCTTCTGCCAACACACCACACACCACACCCTTCCCAATGTCTGATAACCATATATCTACTCTCTACCTCTATGAAATCAACTCTTTTATGTCCCACTTATGAGTGAGAATATGCAATATTTGTCTTTCTGTACCTCTCTTATTTTGCTTAACCTAATGACCTCCAGTTCCATCTATGTTGCTGCAAATAACAGAATTTTAAGCCTCTGTATGGCTGGATAGTATTCCATTGTGTATTTTACTACATTTTCTTTATCTTTTCATCCATTGTTGACACTCAGCTTGATTTCATATCTTGGTTATTGTGAATTCTTGTCTGACTCGCTTAGTCTCCTCCCTATTATAAATCTTTGTCTCCAAGAATTCGTTGGGTGATACCATCTTCATCAAGAAATGAAAAAGTTCATTGGTAAGATTGATGATAACATGCTTAGAGAACTCTACAGCACAAGTCTTTTCCAGCCTGGAAGAAGCCATCATTAAAATGAGTCTCTCTAATTTCAAGAGGATGATAAGATCTCAGAGGAGTCAAGTGACTCTCCCTAAACACCTGGGACATAGTTAATGTGGCAATCAAAAGGTCAACAGAGCCTAAATAATAATAAGAATACCTAACCAGTAGAGATCATGATGTTCCAAGGACCAAAATATATTAGCAGTTTGCTAAGATCTTAATGGATATTTATAATTTAAAAGAAACAAAACAGAATAAAAACAGGCCAAACACTATAAGTCTGTTGTACTGTCTACTTTCTCTACCACAGAAGGTCACCATTTCCCAGTGATGTCCCAGACCTAGTTCACAGCCTTAGAGTCCCTTGAACTCTGAAACTCAGATAAAAATATTTACTGTCATTTTTCCTACTCTTCTTTTCAAAAGGTACTTTCAGCTTATGATCATTGGGAATAAATACTACGAAAAGGGAAATATCCTGTTATAAGGAATTACTGGATACTATCTCTTAGGTGACATTAATTTTGGGGGCTCCAATTATCACTATGTTTTGCAAACAAAAATACTCAAATCAATAAATGCAGGCTTGAAGACCTGTTAGTGCCCCCACCTCAGACTGTGATCTTTACTGGAAAGCTAATTCACATCAAGATCTACCTACATCATCCTTCATATTGTAAAGGGTTGTGTGGGTAAATATTTTGGGGGAAGAAAAGACATATAAGTTTATCCAATCAATTTTTTTAAAAACTTACGTTCAGATAAACAAAATATGAAAAGATAGGAGGGGAAAAGAAGGAGCAAAGACTAAAACAATTGGAATATTAAAATAAATCAGTCAAAATAAATGAATTTGAAAACAGAAAAACTGAAAAATTTTCTGGAAAAAAAGTAATATAACAAAATAGACCACAGAAGAAATGGCCTTTTGAGAATTGTTTTCAAAAATGAAGAAAGAAAGTTGGAAAAAGAGTCCCCCAAAATAATAAATAAAACAGATGAAGCATAAACCATTTTCTAGGATTCTCCTATAAAAGAAGAGCTCATTTAAATGCTATTTGAACTGTTCTAAGAAGAGGAAGTAAAGTAACTCAATTTTTAATGTGAGTTCTGTTCTAAGAAGAGGAAGTACCTGTTCTAATAAGAGGAAGTAAAATAACTCACTTGTTAAAGGCAAGTATATTTTCAAAATCAAAACCTGACAAACATTACCCAAACAAACAGAATTACAGACAAGCTTGATTGTGAATACTATAGTGACCTCCCAAAAAATATTTGTACCAGAAAATGTGAGTGTGACCTTATTTGAACAAACAGCTTTGCAGATGTAATATAAGTCAAGGATTTTCAGACGAGATCCCTTGGATTATCCAGGTGGCCTTTAAATTCTTATGAGAAGGTGAGAAAGAAAAAAGACATTTGAGACAGAGGAGAAGACTCTGTGAAGAGAGAGGCAGAGATAAGAGTTAAGCAGCTACCTGCTAGGGAACATCTGGGACCAACAGAACCTGGAAGAAGCAAGGAACAGAATCCCTCCTAGATTCATTCTCTAGATGGAGTGTGGCCAAACCAACACCTTGATTTCAGATTTCTGGCCTCCAAAACTGTGAAAAAATATGTTTCTGCTGCTGTAAGCCACTCACTTTGTGGTAGTTTAGTATGGCCACCTTAGGCAAGTAATAAAAATATTGATGAACATATTTTAAGTAAAATATTAACAGCAGAATTCATCAGTGGTTGAAAGGATAATTCATCATAACTAAGCAGTGATTGTTATATTAATACTGGGGATTTTTTTATCTTTAAGGGAAAGATATAGAAAGAATAATAAGAAACATGTATGTAATATTTTCTGTGTACCTCTCTCTGTTCAAAGCAGTTTACAGTTAATCATCATAATGACCTTATGAAATAGGTCCATGCCATTTCTATTTTACAAAAGAAGACTAGAAGAACCTAAAATAAAGGAAGGTTAAGTTGCTTCTTAAAGATAGCGTAGCATAGTGAAACTGGATTGTGAATACAAGTGTCTAGGTCCAAATTTCATGTATTTTAACACTGTGATATGATCATCTCCATGGATGCTAAAATGGGGATTCATAGAAGGCAATAATCAATCTTGCTTAAAACTCTTAATTTATTAAGATTAGATATATAGCTATTTATCATTAGAAAATGTACAAATTTTAAACTCCAAATCAGAATAATGCTTAAAATAGAAATACCAGATTCATTTCCATTACAGTCAGAAGTAAACAAGGACACCCACTATTCCTAATATTAACATATTATCATTACACTGCATGTGCTAAAAAAAAATAAGGCAGGATAAAGGTTAAAAATGTGAACTATAAAACTGCTCATATATATGTAATTTTTTCATATATTTAAAATAGGAATATTTTACAAGAGGAGATGTTTCTGCCTAATTCTTGTTTTTATCCTTGCCCTTACCAGATAATGTTGCAAGAATATAACACATTGCAGAGTGTTTGCACTGTTCTCATTGCAAGAGTGAGATGAGACATGAACACAGTTTTAGAGCTTAAGTGTGACTAAATAGCTCATCTAATATAAATGAGATTACTCTTTTCAGGCCCTTGTACTTGTTGCCAAGGAAATGGAATCCCCTCATCCTGTTAGTAAAATCATAGTTAAAATAGCCACATGATAATGAGTAAAGAACAATCAGGGTTAGAAACAATAGATGGTTTAATTCCAACTTAGGGAACAAGAACTGGGGAAGCATGAGGTATTTATGTAGCAGAATAAAAGATTAAATTAAAAGAAAATGATACATTTTGGACAAATGAATTAAATAAAAGAAGAAAAGGAAATCATTTAATTTCTATGTTAAATAAAGGGACTTTATTGAGCCAGAATGGTCTGGCATTTTGTGGGGTTTGTAAACCTATCATAGAACCCTATCTACTTTTATTCTGGTAAGTAGACAAAAGCGAGTGCAGGTTGATGCATGTTGCCTCACTTACCCCAAGTGGTAACATTACTATATGAATAAAATCTCTAAAGCAAACAAAGGGGATGAGAAGAACGTGTTACCAGCTCACAGCTTGACTGAGTCATCCATGTAAGTGCAGACCTCTTCTCATTAGTTGCTTACCTACTGATCATCAGGAAGTAAAGGAGCACATGTCACCAACACCAATTCTCAGCCTGAAAGTTAGTTCAGACCTTAGTTTAGACCATACTTGTAAGACATGGTTCCTTGTAAAGCTTACTGCAGAGAGGTAATTTTGCGAGGTTCCTAGATTGTGTTATTTGTTTCCAGTTCCTCATAATTAAGTGCGGCTAATCATCACTAGATTTGTGCTTTCCAAGATAAGGACTTAATTTTTTTTATAATAGCCCAGATCATTTTATTTCTTCATAGCTAAAATGCAATGGTTTAAAAAAATCATGTTATCTATCTATCTATCTGTCTATCTATATCATAAATATATGAGTTCATGGTTAATATTCATGAATTGACAAGCATAAGTGCTATAGTCCGAATATTTGAGTCCTACCGAAATTTATATGATAAAACCTAATCGGCCGGGCGCGGTGGCTCACGCCTGTAATCCCAGCACTTTGGGAGGCCGAGGCGGGTGGATCATGAGGTCAGGAGAACGAGACCATCCTGGCTAACAAGGTGAAACCCCGTCTCTACTAAAAATACAAAAAAAAAATTAGCCGGGCGCGGTGGCGGGCGCCTGTAGTCCCAGCTACTCGGGAGGCTGAGGCAGGAGAATGGCGTGAACCCGGGAAGCGGAGCTTGCAGTGAGCCGAGATTGCGCCACTGCAGTCCGCAGTCCGGCCTGGGCGACAGAGCGAGACTCCGTCTCAAAAAAAAAAAAAAAAAAAAAAAAAACAAAAAAAAAAAAAAAAAAAAAAACCTAATCACCCGTGATGATATTTGGAGATGGAGTCTTTAGAAGGTGATTAGTTTATGAAAGTGGAGCTTTCATGAATGGCATTAGTATTCCTTATAAAAGATGTCTCAGAGAGCTGCCTTGCTCCTTCCATTATGTGAAGAACAGCTAAAAGGTGCCATCTATAAACGAGAAAGTGGACCCGCATGAGACATTGAATCTGCCATTCCTCAGTCTTGGACGTCTCAGCTTACAAAACTAAGAGAAATAAGTTTCTATCATTTCTAAGCTACTTATACTATGATATTTTGTTATAGCAGCTTGATAAGACTAAGACAATGAGATATGTTAAAATTATTTTTATTATCTGTTATATCCCAAGTTAAAAATGTTTAAAATTTGCTTGGTTCATTTATCTTCAGAATAATCATAGCAGCTCGGTTGGCAACACTGGTTCTTCCTCTACATAGACTTTCTTTTTTTTTATTTTTATTAGTATACTTTAAGTTTTAGGGTACATGTGCACAATGTGCAGGTTTGTTACATATGTATACATGTGCCATGTTGGTGTGCTGCACCCATTAACTCGTCATTTAGCATTAGGTATATCTCCTAATGCTATCCCTCCCCACTCCCCCCACCCCACAACAGTCCCTGGAGTGTGATGTTCCCCTTCATGTGTCCATGTGTTCTCATTGTTCAATTCCCACCTATGAGTGAGAACATGTGGTGTTCGGTTTTTTGTCCTTGCGATAGTTTGCTGAGAATGATAGTTTCCAGTTTCATCCATGTCCCTACAAAGGACATGAACTCATCATTTTTTATGGCTGCATAGTATTCCATGGTGTATATGTGCCACATTTTCTTAATCCAGTCTATCGTTGTTGGACATTTGGGTTGGTTCCAAGTCTTTGCTATTGTGAATAGTGCCGCAATAAACATACGTGTGCATGTGTCTCTATAGCAGCATGATTTATAATCCTTTGGGTATCTACCCGGTAATGGGATGGCTGGGTCAAATGGTATTTCTAGTTCTAGATCCCTGAGGAATCGCCACACTGACTTCCACAATGGTTGAACTAGTTTATAGTCCCACCAACAGTGTAAAAGTGTTCTCTACATAGACTTTCTAACCATCTAGCCTTTTCCATGGCCTACCACTGAAACTGTTTAGATTGATCAATCTCATTATAATAATTATGCCTTTTATTATGACAAACTTTTTAACCTCTGCTCTCATGAACTGTCTATCTTATATTCTCTTTTTGGATTGAAATTGATCATGACTTCTTTGATAAAAATGTTTACCCTCTTTGAACATGATTTAGATTTCTCTGCAGCTAAGCTCTCTGTACTACTCCTGCTTAGGTCAGGCCAGGCTACTAGGTCTTCAATTTGGGGTATGCTCCACGAGCTAGAATTTTGAGGTCCACTGTGGAGCAGGGTCTAAAGACTATATGCCAATCCGGAGATGATAAATAGATAGATCGGTAGGTAGTTGATAGATAGATATCACTAAATATGCATATATGTATATATATTCACACACCCTCCCATATACAGACATATATACTATCTGAAACTTCATTTTTCACCAAGAAGCTTTCTGTTACCTGTCTAATGTGTTGACCTGTTAGTTCCCTTGTCAGGTGTATCTGCTTCTCCATATTGAGCTATAATCACCTGTTTTTCTTTGCACACATGATATGAAAAGTACAAGTTAATCTATTACATGAAAAGTGACATTGCAAGATTTAACTTATTCATGTATTTCAGACAAATAATAATTTATCAGTGATCCTTATGTTTATGCCTGATGGTAGGATATAAAAGGTTAATACTTTAACAGTAATAGCAACAACTTTTGTTAGTTATCTAGAGTACATAAAGAGTATGCTCTATATTATATTGCAGTATTGAATAGGATTATATCATATACCAAGGTACAGTACAGTGTGGTGTAGTTTAACTCAGCATAGTAGAGTGCTGTAAAGTGAGTTTCCATTAATAAATTTATTGAGGCCACATATCTTCAAGGTCATAAATATGATTGTGCAAGTACACTGCTCAGCCTATAAGGTGAGTAGAAGGTAAATTTTAAGTCATGGCTTTTTTTTTGCATAGCTTTATATTCTGGTTTAATGATGTTTCTGCTTTATCCAAAGACACCATATTTGTTAGAAAAAGTCTTACAGAGTACTGCTATATTAAGAATATATGTTTTGGCCTGGCGCGGTGGCTCACGCCTGTAATCCCAGCACTTTGGGAGGCTAAGGCAGGCGGATCATGAGGTCAGAAGATCAAGACCATCTTGGCTAACACGGTGAAACCCTATCTCTAATTGCTGTAAAAGTACAACAAATTAGCTGGGCGTGGTGGCAGGGGACTGTAGTCCCAGCTACTCAGGAGGCTGAGGTTGGAGAATGGCATGAACCCAGGAGGCAGAGCTTGCAGTGAACCGAGATCATGCCACTGCACTACGGCCTGGGCAACAGTGCAAGACTCTGTCTCAAAAAATAAAAAATATATATATATATGTATATGTTTTATATGTTTTATGCTGACAAGTTTTGTTGATCGCCTGTCAAAATGAAAGGCAGCACAGGGTGGTGTTAGAATAATAATGAATATGAATTTTGGATTTATACCTTTGTCGTTTTTGTTATTTGGTTGATTGATTGTTTCTTTTCCTTTCTTTTTTTTTTTTTTTTTTGAGATGGAGTCTCACTGTGTCGCCCAGGCTGGAGTGAAGTGGTGTGATCTCTGCTCACTGAAACCTTCTGGGTTCAAGTGATTCTCCTGCCTCAGCCTCCCAAGCAGCTAGGGCTACACAGGCACAAACCACCACACCTGACTAATTTTTGTATTTTTAGTAAAGACAGGGTTTCACCATGTTGGCCAGCCTAGTCTCAAACTCCTGACCTCAAGTGATCCACCACCTTGGCCTCCCAAAGTGCTGGGATTACAGTTGAGGGCCACCGTACCCTGCCAAGTTTGATTGGTTTAAGTTTGGAGTATATATGGGGTGTGTGTGTGTGTGGGTGTGTGTGTGTGTTTATATATATATATATATATATATATGCACATATATATTCTTCAATTCATCTTAAACTCATTCATTGGAATCATATGAGAAGCTTATTTGAAATGCATATTCACTTGTCTTTTTTTCCCCTACATTTCTGATTTAGTTGATTTGGATGTGAGATCTAAGATTCTAAATTTTTTATTGGCACTCCAAGTTAAATTTGATGCAATGTTGTCATGTACATTTTAAGAAACACTGCAACTGATTTTTTAAGTGAATGAAACATTATATCTTCTTTGGCCCACCATTCTTGAGGTTATATTCATTAATTTAATCACTTCAAGCAGCACTAACAATAAACTACTTCTGGAAGATTATGTCATCGATACTTTGATGAAGTTTTTCAACATATAATCATAAGTGTTAGTTTAAAACAAAGATTCCCTAGTGACTACGTGTTTTTCCATGAAAGTTAGGCTTATGTTTTTATTTATATAGTACATAAATTCTTAGTGTTCTCTCTTCATATATTTACTAATGATTACTAGGGAGAAATCATTAGGAGTAAAGCTTGGAACCGAATTTAAATACTAAAGAGGAGCAAGGCAACTCTGTTATTGAACTATAACATGTATTAGATTGGCTTTAAGGGAGGCACAGAAATGTAATCTAGGGAAACCCTATAAAACCAAATTAAAACAAATATATACCTTATGAGAGATTTTCTCTGTTTATTCCAGAAACGTACATATAAATCACCACCCTCATTTTCTTTCCAATACTTTAGAAATATAAAATTGGAAAAATGACTAATGTGGAGATATGAAAAATTACTTTCAAGTAGTATGCAAAATATTTGTATATTTTATTGTTTCCTAGAAAGTTATTTCCACAGACATCTGTCTATATGCCATGGATATTCTCTTAAGTAAAGAATTGTTTTCTCTGTAATCAAGAGTTTCTTTTTTTTATTAACAACACAAGAACATTTGATCCAACATCAGCACTCCAAAAGTTTTTGTTTTAAGACATAAAGTTTCAATTGAATTTTTTAATGGTGTATTTCCAGGTAACCCAATGATATTCTGTAAGCATCCAATTTAATAGGGAGAAAACGTTGACTGAATGTATGCAATATTTTTTGTATTCTAAGTTAATGATAGCAAACACTGTTCCTAATTTACTCTCCTGAATGTTTAGGTAGTAAAATCAAATATGTCGTGGTAGCCTATCATATTATAAGTGGATTCTCAATGATTAATTTTCAGCATGTAACCTGATGATCATAATATGTTGCATATCTCTTATTGTATATGCATGTGGTACTTTCTTATAAACTCCAATTAGGCAGAAAATAAAGTATATAATTGAAGATTTGGATTATGTGAACAATGTGTAATTATATTAAATAATATGCAATATGTAATGTAGAATTCTTTAAATAATGCATAAGTATCAGAAGATATTTTCTTCATCTTTCATAGTACATGTTAAAAGATTAGCTCTTTTATTGTCTTATTTATTAATTCACGAGATGTTTGTAATCTGGGAATTTTAGATACAGTATCAGGTTAGTTGTTTAGTTAGTCATTTAATTAAAATAAGTCACATTTTCATAATGTAGTAAAACGAACTTATTAATATCTTTAAACCAACGTGGCTATAAAATACCTACCTCCGTATTTTTGCTATATACATTAAAGTACTTTGTAGTATGTTTATACTTGTCACTATTATATAACAATATAAATATTTTTGTTATTATGATATAAGAAATGAAAGTATTTTAGATTTTTTAATGACTACTTGATTAATAGAAGCTGCTATTTATCTTTTAGGGAGGAAAGTTTAGATAAAAGCAGTGATAAGTGGATGATTGTCATTGGCACAATGTTACTTTAAAAAATAAAACCTAATTTATATACCATTATATATAATAAATAAATGACAGGACAAATTAATTTTACCTTGAAAAATGAAATACTCTTTTACGAAAGGCGTTACAAGTAAAACCTTAGACAAGTTAAATTTAACAGAGTTTAGTTAAGCAAAGAACTATTTCTGAATTGGGAGGCCTCTCAATTCCCAGAGAGACTTTGAGCAGCCACGTGGTGGAAGATTTATGGACAGAAAAAGGAAGGTGACATAGAGATAAGAGAAGTCAGGTACATAAACAGTTGGGTTGGTTACAGCCCAGCATTTACCTTATTTAAACACGGTTTGAATAGTTGGCACCCTTTGACTGGCCAAAACTTGGTGATTGGCACAAGAGTAGGTTAGAGTCTGTTTACACCTCCATGTAGGTATATGTCACTACGTACAGAGAAATCTTTAGACTGGACCTTAAATATGTAAGGAAGCAGCTTTAGGCTAAACTTGACTTAAGAAGGCAATACAACAGAATTACTGAATTGTTTTATTAATTCATTCCACAAATATATACTGTCTTCCTTGTGCACAGGCTGAGGTAGAAACTGTGGATAAAATGACATGAAAATATATGTGTTTTTAGAGGTTGTAATCGAATAGAGAAAATGCAAAACTAAAACCAGCTGAAGAACAGTGATCAGATACATTTAGAGTGTTACAGGAGGGCACTTAACATTACAGGAGGATTCTCTCCAATGAATACGAAGGGAGAAGTTGAAGCATCATGGTGAAGCATAATTATTAAAACTATGGAAAATAGGCTGGAGCTTCTCAGAGCAGTGTGAAATCTTGAAAAAATTTAAATAGGTGTCTAATAGGAGTATATTTTTATTCACAAAGATCGTTGTGTATGAAGTGTTTACAATGGATCAGACCTAGTGACAGAGAAACCATGTAGGCTGCTCTGCAATAATTTATTCAACATATATATAACATGGCCTTCTCTATGTTTGATAGTGTGTTAAATTTGAGGATACTGTGGAAAACAAAATAGGTATGGTACTTTTCATCATGGAGCTTACATTATATCAGCGCAACAAACTTGAAGCAAAATTGAAAACATGAATATATATATCCCTATGTTATATTACTAAATATTAACCAAATACTGTTTGATTTTCCCCTTCTCACACTTGTAACACAATGGTATTTTTTCTCTGTCCACAGTGGAAGGTGGAAAACATGGTCAGAACTAACTATAAAGTTTCGGAACAAGAAACTCTCTTATTTGTTTTTGCCTTAGAAAACCTAGATAACACAAGGCCTAGAGAAAATAAAGAGAAACAAATAAAAAAAAAGGAAAAGGGAGAACAGGCTATTTAAGTAAATAATGTGTTTATGTATTTTACTGAGTATTTAAGTACATATTTTAAAATGGTGGAAAACACTGTAGAGAAGAATAAACTACATGGAAAGATAATATCTGGGTAGAGACAGATCATTCATCAATATTGGAGCAACAAGAAATGGGAGTTGAGTAAAACAAGATGAATCTTGAAGGCACATGATGAGAAAATTCTCTGATATTGGAAAACATTTAGCATGTTTAAGAAACTAATATAAAGTTGATGGGGCTAGTAGGTAGTGAGCCAACAGAAGAGACAAATGAAAACTTGAGAATTACATATGGGTTAAATTCAAAAATTAGAATTTTGCTGTTAAGTGCAGTAATCAAGAATTGTTAAGGGTTTGAAATTTTATCCTTCTTTTCAGCTAACAAGTGAGGCTGCTTCAGTTTCATGGATACATCCAGAAGATAAAAATCTCCTGGAGCTGCGTAAAAAGACTATTACTTACAGCACAGCAGGCAGCAGTTGTTTTATGTTTACATATATTTTTTGTGTCTCCCAAGACTCACAGGAGCAATGCAGAAGCAGGCACAAGGGGATGCTGCCCATACAATGTGTTTGTGTCACAGCTAAGGGATTCCAAATCTAGGAAGCCCATATTTTGTAAAGGAGGCTGCCAACCTGGCTTACCTTAGCCATAGACTTTTTTTTTTTAATTCTGGATAGACAATAAATCTCCTCTGTTTCCCAGAGAAAGACACCATTTCATCTTTCATGACTGTTTATGATATATACATCATTAAAAAGGTAATCAGGAAAAAAAGGTAATAGAAGACTTACGGAAATATTATGGAGAATTGTCTCTTGATACATTTGTAAACAAAAAATAAATTTTGAAGCCCCTGTTACAGTAGTTAGCTACTCAGGCATGAGCAGGGCAGGAAAGGGCTCCCTCAACCCTGCCAGGAAGGTCTGGCAACTATCAGATGATGGCCAGGCAGTTATCGTACTGTCTGTCTAAAATAATTGGTTGCAACTGGCACAAGAGAAAAGCAGTCTCCCAATAGATAAAAATACCCGAAACTGGTGATCAGCAGTTTCCTAGTAAGATCTCAGGAGTTGGGCGAGTGGGATCAAGCATGTGCACTAAGAGGCAAAATGGTGGCGTTTAATAGGTATATGACATCCCAGGGATAAATGACTGGTGTGAACCCCCAAAATTTGAGACAGGTCTTAGTTAGAAAGTTTATTTTGCCAAGGTTGAGGAGACGTGGCTGTGACACAGCCTCAGGAGGTCCTGACAACATGCACCCAAGATGGTCAGAGCACAATTTGGTTTTATACATTTTAGGGAGACATGAAACATCAATTCACATATGTAAGACGAACATTGCTTCGGTCTGGAAAGGTGGGACAACTCAAAGCGGGGAGGGGCTTTCAGGTCATTGGTAGATAAGAGACAAATGGTTGCATTATTTTGAGTGTCTGATTAGCCTTTCCAAAAGTGGCAATCAGATATGCATTCATCTCAGTGAGCAGAGGGGTGACTTTGAATAGAATGGGAGGCAGGTTTGCTCTAAGCAATTCCTAGTTTGACGTCCCCTTTTAGCTTAGTGATTTCGGGGCCCAAGGTATTTTCCTTTCACAGTTAAGGGAAGAACACCTCAAGTGAGCATGCATACAACTCCAATAACTGACTGCTCTTGCTCCCCTCCCAAGTGCTAGCAGGCCACTGCACATGCAGACAGCCCACGCCAAAGGAAGAATCAGGGCAAAAGCAACGCAAGACCCCACAAATAAAACCCCAAGTCAAGAGGTTAAACTGCGGAAGTGATCTCTAAAATCATTCGCTTGGCCCTCTTCCAAGTGTACTTCCTTTCATTCCTTCTCTAAAGATTTCAAATAAACTTTCACTCCTGCTCTAAAACTTCCCTTGGTCTTTCCTTCTGCCTATGCCTCTCAGTCCAATTCTTTCTTCTGAGGAAGCAAAAACTGAGCTTGCTGCAGACCGGTACAGATTCACCATGGCTAACACAATTTGGTGCCACGTAACTCAGATACATTTCACTGGTAACATCCCCAAATGATTGAATGGACATCCCTCTTGGCCACAGACATTCCAAAGTACTCCTGAAAAACTAGTTCAGGCCATGATGGGTAGGAGCAGTCGAACATGTGTCATTGTACCTTCCTCACTTTGGAATTCAGGCAAAGCTGACCACCTTTAACATTAAAAGAGAGATCTTAAGACTGACTTAAACAGACTCACTATAGTAATGACATCAAGCGACAGATAGCAAGCCTTGAAAGAAATCAAAGTATTTTATGCCCAAATATATTTCTTTGATATACTTTAAACTGGCTCTATAAAGCTATCTCTTGTGGGGAAATCTGCATTCTGTATAGAATCCTTTCCTTTCCAGGTCTTTCCCTGATTGAGGAGAGATTAACTAAGAGTCTGGCACCTTTATAAGTTTCATAGGAAACATTTAGCATTTATTCTCTCTGAAGCCTGCTACCTGGAGGCTTCATCTGCATAAAAAAAAGTTGGTTTCCACAATGTCTTCTCTCTTTTTTTTTTTTGAGATGGAGTTTTGCTCTTGCTGCCCAGGCTGGAGTGCAATGGTGTGATCTCAGCTCACCACAACCTCTGTCCCTCAAGTGATTCTCCTGCCTCAGCCTCCCAAGTAGCTGGGATTACAGGCATGCACCATCATGCCCGGCTAATTTTGTATTTTTCAGTAGAAATGAAGTTTCTCCATGTTGGTGAGGCTGGTCTTGAACTCCTGACCTCAGGTGATCCACCCACCTCAGCCTCCCGAAGGGCTGGGATTACAGACATGAGCCACCGTGCCAGGCCCACAACGTCTTCTCTTAATCCAGGCATTCCTTTCTATTGATTCCAGCTCTTTAGCTAATAACTTAACTCATTCAACCCATTGCCAATCAGAAAATCTTTGAATCCACCTATGATCTGGAAGCCCCCACTTTGAGTTGTCCTGCCTTTCCAGAGCAAAACAATGTATACCTTTTATGTGTTGATTAATGTCTGCCTGTAACTTCTGTCCCCCTAAATATGTATAAAATCAATCTGTAAACTAACAACCTTGGGCACATGTTCTCAGAAACTCCTAGGCTATGTCATAGGCATGTCCTTAACCTTGCCTAAATAAACTTCTAAACTGACTGAGACTCTCTCAGATACTTTTTGGTTTACATATCATCAGCCTTTTTAATTAGTGTAGTTGTGAGACAAAATATATTTCTTTAAGCACTCTGTGTTCTGCGTGAAAGGGTCATATTGTTGGGGTCAAAATTGTGAAGGAGATATCAGTTGGAGGCTGTATGGTTTTCTAGGCACAGTGATTATAACTACTGCAATATAACCTAGAGAAAGGATGATAGAAGTTTACCAAAGAAAGTGACAGTGAAGATTTTGCATTAGTAAGACACTCACAGATTTCTGATCTGAAGAAACTGAGAAGGTAGTAAAACAGACTAAGAAAAAGATCAAGGAACAAAGGCAGATTTGCAAGTGCGAGGAGTGAGGAGTGAAGACTCCAATTCAACTTTAAAAATAAAAGAATGAAAGTTTTACATGATAGACTTTTTTAAATGTCACTGAGCTTATGAAAAAAACAGACATAATCGTTCTTTTTTCAACTAGACCAATTTGCACTTAAAAATTATCCTTTTTGAGAATTATAATCTGATTAAAGCTCCCAAATATTCAAATGCTCTTTTCAAACTTTCTTTTTATGTCTATGACACTTATACTAGGGAATTTAAGAAACTGTATAGCTGATTTGAAATTAAAAATAGGGATATGTAACTATGTAAGACTAACTCAAATGAATGGTAATTATTATTTGCTGAAGAATGTTTGTAGAGATAACATGGGTTATAATTTTCAAAAGTCTGGGTTCTTATCCTATTAAGATAGTGTATTAGTAAAACTTAAAGTAGATATGAATTTTTTAAAATGTTTTACTTGAAGATAATCCATTAGATATTCCTCAATGTTTACCTAGATAAGGGCAATTTTAGCCATAATTCTAGTTACCCAATTAAATATTTAAGACCAAGTAAAGTCCCAGTATCCCTAAAAGTGTAGAATTAAACTATGTCAAAAGCTTTGATAGAATTTTTAGCATAGACTAGTGAGCTTGTCACGTTCTATTCATAATGTAGCAAGATTAAATTGTATATTATCATCTAATGGGAAAAAAGGATGAATAAAGAAAAAGTTTAAAATAGAATAGTCTCTCATTACTCATGCGTTTCCTTGACTCTTGTTCCTCTAGGACATCTGAAGATATTTAGTTTCATTGTTCTCTGAGTAGCTCATGAATATTTCAGCTCCAAATGGTTGAACGTTCTTTTTACTAGTCCATTTAAATTGCAGCACAAATATGTTTTTTTACATGTGTTGCTGGAAAACTTGGCGATTTAGGGAACCTTAGGCTTTTTAAAAAAAAAAAAATAACAGCTACATAGGGACTATAATAGTTATCATTTTATTTAAGATTGTAAAAGAGTGGGTAAATCACATGTTTTCTTTAATAGTGAAATTGGTATTTTATTTTAATAATCATATGGAATAATAGTTCTCAAACATTGAAAGCATTAGTGCACATAAAAAGAAGTTTGAATGAAACCATTCTTTCTTCAGTGAGAGATTTCTTTTGTCTCTTCACACAAGTCTTTTGAAAAGGTTGAAAGATTATATGGATTGATCCCTCATAATTGCACTCACTTAAATTTTTATGTGTAATACATCACACATACAGATGGCCTCAAAGCCCTGGCTCTATGAACATAATAAAATTTGAGCTGATAGAAAATAATAATTATATATATATATAAAACAAATTTTATACATAGAAACTTTGATTTTCATATCTATATATTTAAGATAATTCTGGATGAATAAGAGGAAGGAGATGTTATAGTCTCATGTTACTATTTCCAGAACATTGTGGAATTAAAGTAAATTTTCTAAGAATTCCTAAAAATGCATCATCTGGATATACATTTCAAGTCCAGGTACAAAGACATAGCCAACTGC